>NC_000012.12:69429824-69581340 GCF_000001405.40 Homo sapiens | reverse complement strand
CTGACACCATCAACCATCTCAGTCACCCAAACCAGATAACTGGGGGTCATCCTTGACCCCTCCATTTCTGTCATTCCCCTTATCAATCAGAGGTGTTAATTCTTCCTCCTTTAGGCCCTCTATTACATTGGTGGCCCTGAATAAACTACACTTTTGATGTTCATGCTTTTATATGAGCCACTGTAATTCAACAAAATACAACAGAATTGACATTGTGCCAGTTCTGGGCTTAGGCCTCAAGAAAGCCTAGCAGCATCTACTTTTGTGCTCTTGGGAACCCTAAGCTGCCATGTAAGAAGACCACATGAAGAAAGACCCAAGACTTCATGGAAGAAAACTAAGGAACACAGCTGAGAGCTTTAAGTTCCAGACATAACCTAGTGGAACTGGTCCAGCCAGCCCTCAGCTGCTTGAATCATACTAGCATAGGCACAAAGCATATGAGGAAGCCAGGCCTCCAGACATCATGTGAGATGAGCCATCTCTGCTGTGCCCTGCCCATCTCGATCTATAGCAACTTGAGACATTAAATGATTGCTGCTTTAAGCCACTAACTTTTAGGGTGGTTTGTTGCACAGCAGTAAACAATCTAAACAGTCCTTTAACAATGCCTTTGAATACGGATTTATCAGATCTGGCTCCATTTCTGAAAAAGCCTCTCAACCAGTCTCCCTGCTTTATTAAAATACCGTAGGGCCAGCTACTTGGGAGGCAGAGCCAGGAGAATGGCATGAACCTGGGAGGGGGAGCTTGCAGTGAGCCGAGATGGCGCCACTGCACTCCATCCAGCCTGGGCAACAGGGAGAGACTCCGTCTCAAAAAAAAAAAAAAAAAAAAAAAAAAAAATACTGCGCCCTTCACGTATCCATGTTGTCAGAGAAATCTTTCTAAACTATTATTTTTCTGGTGTTTAAAATCCTTCAAGTTCTCTCACCTAATTTAAACAAAAGCTCCTTAGGATTCTGTGATCTGTTTCTCATTTCTCCTTTCTTCTGTATCCCCCAACCCTGCCTTTGCTCTCCATGCGCTTAGTCATTTGGAACCTCTTGCAACCACTGAATGTCATGATCTTTCTATACCTCTGTGCCTTTGCACATGCTATCCCTTCTCCCTAAGACATCCTCTCTAAGCTACAAAGACTTTCAACAAACCACCTCAGGGATCACCCCCTCTAAGAAGCTTTGCTTGAAAACCTCCACCCCTAGGCTGAGTTGGATGCCCTTCCTTTGTGTGTGTCTTTATCATGCCAGTTACATCAATCACTTGTGGACATGTCCATCTCCTTCATTGTTTAAATAATTTCCATCTTGACCTGTACTCAACTAAGGCTTTGCAATGTCACTCAGTGGCTAAAAACAGGTTTGAAGTCCCAGAGCTGAGAACTACTATTTGGAATGATCACACAGCTAAAACTGTGAGAAAGCCTGTCATATAGTTACAATTTCATTTTGATATCTTCATTTTGAAAATGGAGGCAGTGATATGAGACTAGGAAAGAAAATGTCACAAAGTTTCAAGTAGTATGTGAAATATAAATACAATAAAACTTTTAAGTAGATATCCGACCAAACGTTTTATTGGGGTTTTATTGCAATCTACTTTCAGCAATAAGGGGAAAGTGAGCATGAAAAGAACTCCAATCAGACTTTATTCAATAAAGCAGCTTTTCATGAATGCTTCAGGTCAGTGTATGATCAGCTCAGCTTCCAGTATCAACTTGAGTACCTCATTATGGATATTTATGCTAGAATGACAACAGTAAGGCATTGCAAAATCCAAAGTCATCTAATATTAAACCATATTTTACATAATTTGTAGGACAGTATACTAATACTCTACAATAAATAAGGATTTAAAAATGTGTTGCTTAGCCCTTGAACTAAATTCAATTACTAGCTTATTCTAAGTACTCCAGTTAATAAACGTTTGATTGTAAAGAACTCTGACTTCTCCAAAGATAAAAAAAATTAGTTGTCATGACAAAAATTAAGCTTAAAAAGCACATTCACACTTGTCCTTAAAAGCAAGTTTACATCATATATGAGAAAACTTTTCATGCCTGATGACATGGCTTATATGGCAAAAAACAGTCATATGCAAAGGACAACTAGAGGGCAATCGTCCCATCCCCACTTCCTCCAAAAAGCCACACTCGGCCTCAGTGTAAAAGTTATATTTTATTGCCATGCTACAAAATGTATGAAGTTGGCACTGATAGGGAGAAATAGAGAACAAAGGGTGGGAAGGGATAGAGGGAAAATTATGTTGTTACATATACAACAAGGTTTTATTTTAATTAACAGTGGTTACGTTTTGCCAATATTAAAAATGCAAACCAAAATTTAAAATGCTGATCTGAAACAGCATTAAGATACAATGTATGCATAGTACAGTATCACTTATGTCTTTTTATTAGAGAAATATGGAATGTTTATAAAAGAAATTAACCATGGGGGTAAAATTCATATTTCATATACAATTTGGCAATGGTAGTCCCACTGTTGGACAATTTTTTATAAAAGAAAAAATTAAAAATCTAATAAGCTACCTTTATACAAAGTTGCTATATTTATGCCTTTACGTAGGAAAAAAACATTTATAATGCAAATTAGGACATACAATAGTCTTACAATATTATACAATGTAATGAAAATAAAACATAACACAAAGTTTGTCCTTTATAAAATGTATATTTTGCATTACTAATGCAAATGTGGCACACTGGTGACTACTGTACTACTTATACCAGTCTGTTTCCATGCTATAACTGTCCAATTGCCATAGAACTGCAATTATAATGATGCTACAAAAGAACTGTGTTATACCAAAAATGAGGAAGTAGGGATGGGGAACAGGGATGTAAAGAACAGGAAAGATAGATAGGGTGCTGGTTTGGGCAGAGTATACTGTGGTACGTCATAAAATATGTTAATTTTTCAAGCCAAAAACATTTTCTTTACATTCTGTAATTTCGTACCAATGCCTTTATTCAAATTTGGCAAACATCAAGGAAAAGGTAATTAGTACCATATACCTCACACATCAGAAATATGAATGAGATGCCAATACATCAGTTACTTGTGAATGATGTCTCTGATGGTATGTCTATTTCAAGAATATATGTATTTATACACACACACTACACATTGCACAAAACATTTGGGCATTATAGGTTAGGAATAGCACGGGGGAATTGGGAAGTACTTTTTCATCTGTTAAAACCTTTACCTTGAGGCAAAAATATGGCGGCACATTGTTGGGAAATTATGAAAACATAAGGCCCCTGTCCCATTTTTAATAGAACATTATTGAGGTACATTTTTATATGCTGTGCCACAGTTTTGGGGAGGGGGAGGAGATAAACACTAGCTTGACTTGTTCTATTTATAACATTGAACGCTGGAGAGGGTCAACATTAGTATCTATAAAAACAAAGATTGCTTGGCAAATTTTCCTAAGTCCCAGATATGATGTATTCTGGATATACTGAGAAGTGAAAAGCTTTTTGCTGAATCTTAAAGAGTAAAGTGCATATCTCATCACTCCACAGCAGCAGTAAATAAAAGGAAATATTTGCCAGTCTTCCTGGAGGGAGGGAAGGCACCATATTTTCATTTTTAGAAGAAGATGAAACTGGGAAATAAAACACACTAAGAAAAAACACAAGTAATACCAATATCAGTTTCCAACCCTAGCATGGGATAGATGCTGTTATGATTTGTATGGATAAAACAGTATTCTATTTGGAGGGAAAACATTAACAATGATTATATTTCCAAAACCAAAAAGAAGGATCACATGGTCTACCAACAGAATTATCTAAAATTAGATCTGCCTCAGAAAATCTGAGATATATGGCCACAATTATATGCTAATAAAATATCAATATTTCATTCTAAAATGCACCTAGTAATAGGTACATCCTTCGAGGACACAGCTTAATGCCCATTACTAAACTACTGCAAAGGACAAGTAGTATTCTAAATTACCTTTTATTAAATAGGAACACAAGTGATTTCTAGAAAATATCTAGAAATTAACACCAGTTGTATATATTTTCCTAATACTCTTATAGTACCTAAAATCAAATTCTTAGCAGACAAATTGGTCCCATTTTCCTTTTTAAAGCACATAGTATTTAAAGCATAAACTGTAATGATTATATTGGAGTTATCTAAAAAAAATAAAAACTAATTAGAATCCGGGGGAAACAATGAAAAGGATGACGGAAAGAAAGAATAAAGTACCCAACCTCCAAAATGAATAAATAGATCAGCCCTTGCATTTGGAGATTAATGTTCTGCCTTGACTGGCTGTTTCAGAAAAAAATGTGCAATGGTTCCATCATAATTCTTATTCCACATTACAAAAACTATTACATAAATTTGGCACAATTAGCAATTTACTCAGAAGAAAGGATAAGTGGAACAATATATTAAAAATGGAACCTGCATCATGGAAACTGCACACCTATACCACTGCTCTCTTTTAAGAGAACAGTGAGCACTTTAATAAGCACCAAGTTCACAGGGGAACAAAAGGGAGAAAAGAAAATTCTGCTATGCACATAGAATGATAAAATACACTGATATTGATTTATAGTAAAGACACTAAAAATGGCACTAAAACGATAAAGACACCTTTAATAATTTATTTTCTTTATAATGATCCCACTCTATTGTTCTCCTAATCCATCATTGTCCTATGATTCGGTTACTGAATAGGTTGGATGCCAATATGACTAAAACTTTTTCATGCTAAATTAACCTTAGTTATATCTGGTAGATCCAGATCATAATCTCAAACTTCCTCATATTTAGAGAAAATAGTAAAATATTTTGCAAGGTTACCTAACCTTTTCCACTCTACCTTCTCTCGTATTCTCTAGTGTTTAGGAAATTGGAACATCTTTGATTTTCCAAGAGTTTGACATATGGAGACTCTTCAGTTTATATAAACTTTAATTCATTTTAAATCCTAAATTATGATACAATCTCACTGCTACAAGACTTCCACTGTACCTGCTATGCTGGCAACAATATTAATATTTCATGGAAATCGAAGGATAATCAAAGATCCAGCTACAAGTAAAAGGACAGCAGAGCTGAGGAACACTAGAGTGGGCAGAGTACAACTGCAGCGTGTAGCTGGGGGAATTACTGCTAAAGTGCTGGGGAAGAGTGCCCACAGAGACAACACGGTACACCTTGAGGGAACTTTGCATGTTAAAAGTAGCTTCCTTTTTTTCTCAGTTTGCTAAAGAGATCACCTATGGACACAAGCAAATTTAGAATTGGAGAATGTTTTTATCAACTTGAAAAGTAAACAGCTTATAAATAAATACTGGACAAGGGCAACCCTGTTACAGACTAACAGTAAGTTCCAAATGAACCTTCAAAACCATAATTTGACAAAAATGCAAACTAAACAACAATGAACACATAATCCAATTTCAAAACTATATACAAACTCAAACATTTTAAATTGAAAAGGACATAAGGCAACAAAATAAGACATCCCAAACACCAAAGAAAAAAACTGAAGATAAATGGAAACCTAATGGCACAAATGCCTCCAGAAAACAATGTGTTGTCAACAATCTATAGGAGAAAAACTTTCAGGAGATTGTGGTTCAGATTTTCAAATGTTTTTGGGTAAAGTGACCTGAGACTGATTCTTGAGCCTATTATAATTTTAAGATATCTGGACATGCCCTTCAAATGACATCATGAGATGAGTAAATAGAAAATCTTGTCTCCTTCCTGCCTTTCAGTGCACCAACAGCAAAGCACACTCATGGACACAGGCCGCTTTCTAGTAACACTGAAGGCAAAGGAGCTGACTGGTGTAAGAGGAGGTGCGGTACTTCTGTTTCCTTTACATATGTTTTGGCTCAAGTCAAAAAGCCATTAATTAATGAAATAAAGGATTCCTCATGTTACATGCTGGAGGCCACATACTGTGAACACTGAATCTACGAGCATTACTTTCAAAGCCTATAGTTACCTGTTAGCAATGTACATTGTCAAGAGGCTTTATAAAAAGTTTTAAAAGCCAACCATGACTTAGACATGAAAGGTATGCGTTAAGTCCAGAATATTGATAAAAATCAACCAGCATGTCATTTACTTCAACTCTCATTTTAAATAGGCACTGTGAAAACGGGAATGCTGCTGTACAACGAGTAGTATATAATGAAATTAGTGTTCTTTAAGGAGTACCTGCTCTACATTAATTCCCTTTAGTTAAAGATGCACATGAAATATTCAGAAAAAAATTTTATCAGTCTATAAAAGGAGTTAGTGTTTAGAAATGAAAATGAAGCACTTGCATCTTCATTTTTAAAAACTTCACAAAGGTGCAAACAACACAATGCTTTCCAGGCTCACATGGGCAGATCAGTACTATTGTGTCTAGTTTTCCTAGATGTACCATCATCTCGTGGCAGTGCTTTCTGCAAATTTGACATAGCAGCAGTTCTCTCGATGTCTATCACGGCATACAGCTCTGTGCGCCTGGTAGGGGTTTGTGGAAGGGGAGTTGTAGGCGTTTTTGGAGTCTGAGGGTTGTCAGAGTCACTGCCACCTTCCAAGTCAACCTGTATGTAATTAAGCTGCCTGTGTTCTAAACTTGGGCGTCTGATATCAAAGTTAAAGACTGTTGGTGTACAGTCCCGACGCCTTGAATATTCTATTTTGTGAGCACTTGCTGGCACTGTTACATTCTCTGTATTTACATAGTTATGCATTGGATCTAGATTATTATGGTAGCCATTTAGAGATGGGGTCTTTGGTCCTAAATTGTCATCTTCATCCCTACTTAGCTTGCGGGCTTCCCAAACAGGAGGCAAAGATGGTAGATTTTCATAGTTTAATAATGCAGTTCTTCTCTGAGCTGAGTTGTTGATATTCTGGGTATCTGAGGTACTGGTGGATGTCAGACGACCTCTCCTGACCCCTGAGGCACTAGGGATAGATAGCCCATTTATATTTTCATACACCAGTTTGTTAACAGAGGGTGCATCTCTTCGTTCATCACTGTCATAGCCAGTGTCCCATTCTGTGTTATTTGCTCCACTTCCACTAACTTGATCTCTTCCAAGTTGCTCCAGTTTCTCTTTTTCCATTAACTGCTTTTGAACAGGGGTTGGCCCTAAAACAAATTTGACTCCTTCAGGTTCAAGAAGAATCTGAGGATCCCTGTCCTCAATACTACTTGGTTCTTCTTTTGGTGTGCTGCTTTCAGCGTTAGAAACCCTCGCCTCCAATGGAACATGCACACTTGTGCGGTTTTTCCGCTCTTCTTGCACACCTGTAGTGTTGACATAGGTATGTACCTAAAACAAAACAGAAAGTGAATTAGTTAACTTACTTAAAAAAACAAAACTGAAAAAAAGCCTGACCACATCAGTTAATTTTATTGACAACAGTTAACTGTATTAACTTTCTCTCCAAATGTACTCTTACTTCAAAACTTTTGCACCTGTTTTTTTATTAATAAAAAGGTGGAAAGAGAAGGAGAAATGTAGAAATGTCTTCCTAATTTGATAAAAGAATAACGACTTCAAAATAACACGCAGGCTGGGCGCAGTGGCCCATGCCTGTAATCCCAGCACTCTGGGACACTGAAGCGGGTGGATCACTTGAGGGTAGGAGTTCGAGACCATCCTGGCCAACATGGTGAAACCCCGTCCCTACTAAAAATACAAAAATTAGCTGGGCATGGTGGTGAGCGCCTGTAATCCTAGCTACTCTGGAGGCTGAGGCACATGAATCATTTGAACCCGGGAGGCAGAGGTTGCAGTGAGCCGAGATTACACCATTACATTATCAGCCTGGGCAACAGAGTGAGGCTCCATCTCAAAAAATAAAATAAAATAACATGCAACATTATATTTGATTGTTAAACATGATAAATATTATGTAAAAAATAAAAATCAGGAACAAAATAGGGATTATCATTTTGCTGCTGTTTTAGAGGTTCTCAAAGCATTAAAACATGATCCAGAAATAAATAACGACTTTGAAAAGAGATAAGTTTATCCTTATTTACTGATGATCTGAATGTATAAGAAGATTAACTCCACTAGATTTAATAAGAGTTCTGTAAAATGCATATATATAAAATAAATGCCACCAAGTAAGAAATTATCACTATTTAGAAAAGCTTAATAGTATTTTGGGGAGATAATATAAAAATATTTACAAGGGTCGGGCACAGTGGCTCACGCCTGTAATCCCAACACTTTGGGAGGCCGGGGCAGGCAGATCACTTGAGGTCAGGAGTTCAAAACCAGCCTGGCCAACATGGTGAAACCCGGTCTCTACTAAAAATATGAAACAATTAGCTGGATGTGGTGGCCTGCGCCTGTAATCCCAGCTACCTGGGAGGCTGAGGCAGGAGAGCTGCTTGAACCCGGGAGGTGGAGGTTGCAGTGAGCTGAGATCATGCCACTGCACTCCAGCCTGGGCGACAGACCAAGACTCATGTAATTACAGTAAATAATATAACAACTCATTATGTAAAGAACACAAAGAAACTGATTTTAAAAACACTAAAAACTTTTTAATGTGACATATGGTTTACAAAACATAAGTATAACTAATTAATACAGAGGTTCCAACCAGATACTTCATTCCACACATGAAAACTAGCATACTCGGGAACACTAAATAACTCCATAACATTAACAGCAAAATCTACCTTCCTACTCGTAGTTCACTGACTATAATGGCTAAAATATGAAAAGCAGCATAAACTCTTAATCCATTGGACATTCTTATAATGGGAACTGACCATTAGTTATGCCTTTCTTAATCTATAGATGTACCTCTTCTGTGAACCCACAAGCTACTGTAATGGTAAGTTCCCCTGAATACCCGCATATATTTGAGCATAAACCAGCAAATATATGCTATCTCCTCTGATTGTTCACTACAAAAGTAATTTACAAACAGATAAAGTTAAACTTCAAGCTGAATAAAATCTTCCAGTATTAGCACAGTGATACCCTAACTCTGAACAATCATTATTGCTGTTACACAGTAGCACATGCTTACTTGTTCCTCAGCCACAAGCAAAGGATGTGTAGATTCTTCCCCTACTGAAGGCAGGCGAGCACTTCCCACAGAAGGATGTCTGCTTGACGGATGGGATGAAGCATCTCCAAATGAGGGATATCGGGGATATCCATTAGGTAAGTTCTGAGCAGCAAATCCTGGAGCTGAGTTTTTGTTTATTGGTTTAAGGAAAAGGGGGGCGGGGCAGAGAGAATAAAAATGAGTAAGAATCGAATCTGTACTGAGGATTATAGGAGGTCTTTCTGCCAAGACAGCAGAAATCAGAGCACAAATAGTATTACCCCCAACTCCATATTTTACCTAATATGAAATACTGAATGTTTTCATTTTTTAAATATTTGAAGTACTTAGAACTACGGCTGTGTTTTTTTGTTCTGTTTTGTTTTGTTTTGTTTTTGAGACGGAGTCTTGCTATGTCGCCCAGGCTGGAATGCAGTGGCATGATCTCAGTTCACTGCAAGCTCCACCTCCCGGGTTCATGCTATTCTCCTGCCTCAGCCTCCCGAGTAGCTGGGATTACAGGTGCCCACCACCACGCCCGGCTAATTTTTTTGTATTTTTTTAGTAGAGATGGAGGTTCACAGTGTTAGCCAAGATGGTCTCGATCTCCTGACCTAGTGATCTGCCCGCCTCAGCCTCCCAAAGTGCTGGGATTACAGGCGTGAGCCACTGCGCCCGGCCTACAGCTGTTTTTAAAAACTGACAACCATTATACTTCTGTTATCCAGTGGTGATTTCTAGTGTGTTATTGATTAAATACCCACAATCTATAGCTTACAACTAAACGTCTGTTATTCAAAATGTGAAAGGGAAAAGGGGTACTTACTTGTAGGTGTTCGAGGTGTTCTAGGGACTTCCAATTCTGTCTGATGATTATTTCTTTCTACAACTGGCTCTTCCACCACATTTATACTATTATTTTGCATAATCTCTTGCAACATGTTAAATAATTCTTCTGCACGGGCACACTTAAAGGCAAAGATTCCTACAAATATAAACCAAAAGGGAAAAATAGTTAACATACCTTTAAAAAAAACTATAGGAACACTTGACAAACAGCAGAATTGTAAAGTAAGCATTCTACGCACCGAGTCAGAAATCCCTTTTAAATAAATATCTGATAAATTAATGATTATTCTCTGTTTCAAAACAAACCCCCGCCAAAAGTTCACAGAATAATTTTCATTCATCTAAGGGAGATGGCCCAAAATAAAGCTAATGAAATCAAGACCTGCGCACTTACGCTAGTCTGTTTCTTAACAGCAGGGGGAGCCCAACTCACTATTCCAAGGTGATCATTTGCCATGTAACAGGCCCCTTGGAAAGTCCCTAGGTGTTTTCCAATTGTTATCTTGTTTAATTATTACAATAATTAAAAGATAGGTATTACCATTTCCCTTTTATAGAGAAGAAATTTAACATTCAATGGAAGTCCTGTAACTTGTCAAGGCCATTCAAGTAGTAGGTAGTAAAAAAATCAATGATAAAGACACTTAGTCAATTTAGCTGACCCAATCATTTACTGAAAAATCTTAAAGTTGACATGAGCCAAAATTTCTCACATAGACAATGTGCTTAATAAACAGTTGATAAATTAATACACAGTATACTATATCTTTCCTTAACAATCTGTTTATTTTGGGATTTTTTTCAGAAGAAAAATATTAATTTAATCTTTGTATACAGAATAGCTGAAAAAACAATTTCAAATACAATATTTGGGAAAAAAAACAAAGGTTCTACCTTGTCCAGTTTGACACCTTCGACCACTTTCAAAAGAAAAGAGATTCGAGTCATAGCCATAGCGTCGCAGGCAGAGGTAGTGCCATTTTACTGAGTCACGTTTGCGGGTGTATAAAATCAGTTCTGTGTCTGTAAGTTCCATTATGCCAGAACCTAACTCATTCCCATCATCATCCACATTAATGACCTAAAAAAAGAAGGTGACAGTCATGCAAATATGTCACCAATTCGTCAGGAAAATGCATTGTTGCTAATTAGTTATTTGTAATTTGTTAGTTCATTCATCAACCAATGTGTGTATCAGGCATGGACTACGTAGCCGTGTAACACCCAGTTCAGATCTGTAAGAAATTTACATTCCCACTGGGGAAACAAAATGTAGAAACACAAAGTCAATACCACAAAAGTGTATGATTAATTGACAAAGGAATGCAACAGAGGCTGCAGAAGGCAGGAAGTGTGGTCTAAGGTTGTTGAGACACCTTCATTTAAGAGGAGGAGGGCCTTTAGCTGGACCGCTAGTATAAATAAATTTACGCAGAAAATAAAATCAGAGGGGAAATCTAGTGGGTCAGGAGATAAAGGGACATCATAAAGACACAATGTTAAAGCAGAACAAAAAAAGTACCTTTCAAAGACACCAAAATAGATTGGCACAGAGTTCATATGAGGAAAGGCTTTGTACTGCTGAGCTTCAGAAAACATCCAAAGACTAAGAGCAGTAGGTAACATTTAGGGAGAAGTTACTATTCCCCTGGGAGTAGGAAAAGAGCTTTACATGTATTTAACCCTCATAACAATCCTAGACTACACTGTACAAAAATGGAATTAAGACTCAGTAATAACGTAACCTGCCCAAGGTCACAAAGCTTATAAAGTGACAGACTTACACCTAGGTTTGTGTGATCAAGGCTATTCTTTGTAACAGATCGAGGTCAAATTATCAGACACAAAACAGCTATAGCAGCATTTAGCCTACAGGTAAAATAACACCACACAATTTTAGCAAAGAGGTTAGTGAATGATGAGAGAAGAAGATTAATTTGATGGTGACTACAGGATGAATCAGAGGGTGACTTGAGGTAGAGTCCAGTTAAGAAATCACACAGGCACACATGAAAATAATAACTGAAAGACAGATAGTGATGAGATTGAAAAGGCACCCCGTAAAATGGCATTTTAAAAACAGTATTACCAGAACGGTATGGCTAATTAGATACAGAGGACCGAAGGAAAACTAAAAAAAATTCCATACTGTAAGAAAATGTTGTCATCATTTATTAAATCAAGAAAGACAGGGTGGAAAGAAAGGGAAATAGAAAGGTTTGGTGATAAAAGCCAGAAATAAGATATGTTAAGTGAAATAAAAGAAGAACACCCAACTAGGCAGTAAGATATATAACTCAACCAGTTTTACTGACCTTAAACTTGTTCCGATGGTTATCTGGGACAGTGTCTTTATCTGGACAGCTACAACAGCTACCCATGGCTTCTTCAGAAGACCATGTGTGCACTACATGAAAAATAATTTGGAAAAATTTATTAGATGAAGGATACAAAAACTGTAAACAGAAAAAGACTTTAGAAATCATCTAACACAAACATTATTCTGATGCAGAAAATTAAGTCCAACAAGGTATATGGCTGCAGCTAGATTTTATACAACTAGCTAGTTGATTTTACTCAGTAATAATGAGAATAAATTTTGTGAGGCATTAATAATGTCAAACAAATCTCAAATTTCTAGTTAAATTTGCAAAGGTCACCTATTCTAAAATCATCTAAAAAAAAAACCAACTTAAGGTCTCATATATAATATTACCTAAATAATTAATTTTTGTTCAAGAGTTAATAATGAAATTAACCCTTTGTGGCTTATCAGGAATTTCATGTCCTTCTTTAAAGAGAGAGAGAGAGACAGAGAGGGACAGAGAGAGAGAGACAGAGAGAGAGAGAGAGAGACAGCCAGAGACACAGAGACAGGCAGGCAGGCAGGCAGGCAGGCAGACATTATGTTGCCCAAGGCTGGGCTCAAACTCCTGGGCTCAAGTGATCCTCCTGCCTCAGCCTCCTGAGTAGCTGGGACTACAGGACTACCAGACCTGGCTTGTTCTTTAAATAAAAAATCACCAAAGGGATGGTGAACTTCTGGCTTGGCAGGTATTTTGACTGTTGTTACTCATTGTAGTATCTTTTATGTCTCCACAAGACAAGAGTTCATTGGTAATTAAAACAAAATCAAATTTCGAATAGCGCATTGGTAAGAGAGAAAGACAACTCAAAATTAAGCAGTAAAGTAACACACAGAATACTGGCAAAACTGATATAGCATGTCTATTTAATACTCCTTTCCCATAGAAGGTTAGAGGTAAGTGGTTATATACCTGACATTGAGTGTTTAAGAACACTCCAACTGAGCAGACAAAGAAAACTCCAAAGCATCACTTACAAACAAGGGAAATAATCAGATAGAATATGACAATATATGAAAAAGGAGGAGGGAAGGAAGCACAGAAGCTACAAAACATTACAAACATAAATTTGATTGAAGCTTGTTGAAAATTATTCAGTGGCTCTCCACTATCTTCAGTTTAACAGTATAAACTCTTCAGTATGATAGATCCGATCAGATACAATGTAATCCCTGTCTAACAGATCCAGTCTAGACTCTCCCTGCTTTCTGTTTCAAGCCCTATTCTTAGTCCTGTCAGAATAAACAAGCTGCAGTTTCCCCAGAGCATCCTGGTCTCTCACATCCTTCCAAGCTGCTCCCTTTCTGCTTCTTTCCTTTCTCAAGATTCAACTCAAAGTGCAGTTCCTCTAGGATGCTTTCCCTGACTCCAAGCAACTAGGCAAGTTATACTATTATGTATGACCGTCATGCATATGCTAACCCAAAGCACCCTGGGCTTCCTAGTATCATAGCATCTATCACACTTTGTACTGAGTAGAAATTGTGGCAGGTATCTGTTTATCTGTCTTTTCTCCTCCATTGTGAGCCCCTTGTCAGCAAGGATGAACCTTACTCATTTTTACATTCCTAGTACCTAACACGATACCTAGCATACAGAAGGTGCTATAGGACCTGTGATTTAAATGGACTGTATTAAACAAATGTGAAGGATCCCTAGCAGGTATAAGTATTAAGAAAATGAAAAAGTGTACTAGCGTATAAACCAAGAGTGTATATGATAACATATAATAGTAAAGTTAATTAAGACTCATGATATTTGGTATTTTTGCTTTAACTAATATGCCAGCTAAGTATCATAGTACAAGGACACATAAGTCACCATCTTTGTCTTTGAAGAGCTGTGAGTATCAAGGGGGAGAGAGAGAAAGAGAGAGAGAGAGATGTAAATAGATAATGCACTGCGATAAACCTTATATTAGGATATGAGCAGAGTACTGTGGGCACATGAAAGGGAACAACTAACTTTCTGGGTTAGGCAGGACAGGAAGCACTAATTGAGCTGGGATTTAAAAGAAGAGCAGAAACAACATGCTAAGCAAAATAAAGAGAAATAAGCACCTGAGACAGACAAAAGTCATGAAGTGTCACACCACATTCAGGAGAAAGTGAGGCGTTCAGTATGACTGGACTACAGGGTAGACTGGAAGACAAATGGGGCCCAACCATAAAGCAGCCTGAACAAGCTAGGGACATGTTCCCTAGATTTGAGACTTGATCTTCCAGTTAACTCGAAGATAGCCTGCCTCTAGTGTTCCCACAATAGAATGGCATAACTCTATTGTGGCCTTTATCGTACTCTACTGCAATGTTTATCTTTCTGCACCATCCACTTTGCTGTGATCTCTTTAAAGACAGGAAATCTTGTCTTGTTCATTTTCCAGGGCACTAAGCATACCAACTTACATGGCACATATTCTTTTTTTTTTTAAATCCCCCAAGACGGAATTTCGCTCTTGTTGCTCAGGCTGGAGTGCTATGGCGTGATCTCGGCTCACTGCAATATCCGCCCCCCAGGTTCAAGAGATTCTCCTGCCTCAGACATGGCACATATTCTATAAACATTTAATTTTTTAAAAAATAGTAAATGTTTAATATTAATAAATTATAGGATGAGTAATATAAGAAATTTTAAGTAAAGGGATAATTGATAGAGACATTTTTTAAAAGTCTTCTTGAAAGTACATATTTGTTCTCCCCGACCTCCTTGTGAAATATGAAGAGCTAAAAGATTACTACAGTATGGCTTTTGCTTCAAAAGATGATGCTCCAAAGGAATGTTTTTAAACTTTTTTTTTTCTCAAAAGGAGCAGGAAAATCATCCTTCCACTTGGCATCTTCATAAGCTACCTGTTAAGGTAGAACCTCTCGTGCTGGCAGGGATATACAGTCATGAGCCACATAACAAATGTTTGGTTGGCAACAGACTACATATATGACAGTGGTTCCCTGAGATTACAAGGGAGCTGAAAAATTCCTGTCAGCTACTGACACTATAGCTATCACAGCATCACAGTGCAACACATTATTCATGTGTTTGAGATAATGCTGGTATAAAAAAAAACCTACTGCACTGCCAGTGTATAAAACTATAGCACATTCAATTATGTATAGTACGTAATACTTGATAATGATAAATGACTATGTAATTGGTTTATGTATTTACTATACTATGTATCTTACTATTATATCAGAGTATACTCCTTCTACTTATTAAAAAAAAAATTAACTGTAAAACAGCCTCAGGCAAGTCCTTCAGGAGGTATTCCAGAAGAAGGTGCAGTTTTCCTAGATGACAGCTCCATGTTATTGCCCCTGAAGACTTTCCAGTGGGACAACATGTAGGAGGAGAAGACCGTGATATGGATGATTTTCACCCTGTATAGGCCCATGCTAATGTGTGTGTTTGTGTCTTTGTCTTAGTTTTTAACAGAAGTTTTAAAGGTTAAAAAAAAATTAAAAATTTTAAAAACAGAAAAAAATCTTAAAGGATATAAAAAAATACTTCTGTACTGCTGTAGAATGTGTGTGTTTTAAGCTAAATATTATAAGAGAGTCAAAAAGTTTCAAAAAATTAAAAGGTTATAAAGTAAAAAAGTTATAGTAAGCTAATTTATTACTGAAGAAAAAATTATTTAAACAAACAGCGTAGCCTAAGAGTACAGTTTTATAAAGCCTACAGTAGTGTACGATAACATTCTAGGCCTTCACATTCACTCACCACCCACTAACCAACTCACCCAAGAGCAACTTCCAGTTCTGTAACCTCCATCCACGGCAAGTGCCTTATACAAGTGTACCATTTTTTCTCTTTTATAGTTTTCTTACTGTACCTTTTCTATGTTTAGAAATGCAGATACTTACCATTGTGTTACAACTGCCTATAGTATTCAGTACAGTGATGTTGCTCAGATTTGTTGAGTAGGAGCTATAGGCTATACCATATATCCTAGGTGTATAGTAGGCTATACCATTTAGGTTTGTGTAAGTACACTCTATGACGTTTGCGCAGTGACGAAACTGTCTAATGACACATTTCTCAGAAGGAATCTCCACCATTAAGTGATATATGAGTGGCAGTGCAACCTACTTGGGGACTCTATCCACACTGAATGTTTGAGTTCAATACAACAATAATTAATGAAATGCCTAATATGTGATATGAAAGCCTTGTATGCCATGCCAAAGAGAAAGGAATTTATCCTACACATGATGGAAAACCACTGATGTATTTTAAGTAGAAAAGTGAGACGGTCAGAAGTGCATTTTAAATAAACATATGTATGATAAATTTAAGTAGGAGTTTAGCTCAGAGGAAAGAAAATCAGTTTGAGATTATTAAAAAATGAAATATGATAAAAACCTAAAACAAGAGCAGCAATGGTAGGAATGAAGAAGAAAAGAATAAATTTAAGGAACATTTAAGAGGAAAAGTCAGTGGCACCAAAGAACTGACTTGACATAATGGAAAACAGAGGCAGTTTCCAGCATGGCAGACAAAGGGTGCCAGGGGTCTATTACCTGAGATACAAAAAACTGTAGTCTTCAAGAGGAAGTGATAATGATTTGTTCAGATATGTTAAACTGAGAGCCCAGGGAAATGTCCAAGTGCAATAGTTAAGTACATAAGTATGTGTTTGAGGGAGAAGGTAAAACATTAGAACACATGTCACATTTTAAGCTCTTGAACACTGGCTCAAGGATAGTATGAAGACTGGTCTGTGGTTGAAATTCTGGGGAAATACAAATGTGTTTAAATACAGGAGTAGAGAGAAGCCAGTGAAGGAATTAAAAAAAAAAAAAGATCAGAATAGTACAAACTAAGAAAAGTAAGCATCAAGCAGGAGGGCACCATCCATGGCAGAGACAGATGCCAAACTACAATGAGCAAGTGGAAGATAAAGAGGTAACCCCTAGAGGATGGAAACTGGTCTTTGAAGAACTGGTTGAGAAAATAAAGAATAGAGAGGGCTACGGTGTGAATATATTCAAAAGAGAATACATTACTTGAGTTACGTATTTTAAGATGACATAGATTTATGCAGGCTTATAATCAGTAGGTCAAGAAAGTTTAAAAACATAGGAAAAACAAAGAAAAGAGAAGGGCTAATTGATGGATCAAGACAGAGGGGGATAGTAGAGATGAGTTCCAGGGCCCAGATTGAGAGGTTTACCCAGAGAAGGAGGAATGCTTCATTCTCTGAGGAGAGAGGAAAGACATAAGGGTGGGTCGAATATAGAAAAGAGGCTGAAGTAGGTAATATTTATCACCCTGCATTTCCTTTGTAAAAGAGAACGCAAGGCTTGTAGAATGAGGGACTTGAGAATGGCAGGATTAGTCACCAAGGAGCTACCCAAGAAAAGAGAGCAGGATTATTAAGTAGGCTGAGATGAGAACTCAGCAGAGGCTGCAGAGGCAAGATTATGCTGTTTTGCTAGCAGTGCTCAGCAGTCCACAGGATAGACAGTTCAACTGACCCACGGTCAGAGGGTAAGAGGGCAAGGATACTAAAGTATGTTGGCAATACAGGGGTTTGAAGTGACAGATCATGACATCCAGTCAGGAAAGAAGTAAAGAAAGAAGAGAGCTAACAAAATACAAAATGGGGCAAAACCCCAAAACAAAACAAAAAAACAGGTGGCCTCAGTAAGGCTAAAGAACAGGCTTAGCATGAGTGAGGGATAGACACAGCTGGAACATGGGCAGTTGTGGCCAATCTTCCAATTCCTGAAAGGAAACTTCTTTAATGTGAAGTTTTCATCCACATATCTGATTCTTTCTCCTAAACCACAAACTCTGAGGCAAGGGAAAAGGCTAGATACTAGATATTCTGCATTTATGACCACCAGATTAATATTTGAAGACTACATCTGAGCTATGTGACACCTAATAATATGCATTAATATTGTAAACACTTGAGGAACAACCATGTGATCTCATTTGCATACACTCCTCCAGGTTTGTAACTCAGCAAAAACACAAATGATTTTATTATGCTCACTCAAGACAGCAACATACAAAAGTAAGTAGGGTACATTTAAGAACAAAAGGTAGGCCGGGTGTGGTGGCTCACACCTGTAATCCCAGCACTTTGGGAGGCTGTCGTGGGAGGACTGCTTAATTAAGCCCAGGAGTTCAAGACCAGCCTGGGCAACACAGTGAGACTCTGTCTCCACAAAAAATAGAAAATTAGCTGGGCACAGTGGCACACACCTGTAGTCCCAGCTACTTGGGAGGTTGAGGTGGGAGGATCACTTAAACCCAGGTGGTCGAGGCTGCAGTGAGCTATGATATGCCACTGCACTCCAAGCCTGGACGACAAAGCAAGGCTCTGTCTCAAAAAATAAAATAAAATTAAAATTAAATTAAATTAAAAATACAAATAAAATAAAAGGTAGCTTTTGTTTGGGAAGAGCAATGCTATAACAAGTTTGCTGAATACTTTAAATTAGTAAACATGTCTTAGTTAATTAAAGCCATTTATCTTCATCCTTTGGGAGCAGGGGGGTGGTGTCAGCAATCAGGAAGAAAAATGGTTGCAGTTCAAGAAAACATTATTAAATTCTCTCATTAAAAAATTATAGGCCAGGAGTGGTGGCTCACGCCTGTAATCCTAACACTTTGGGAAGCTGAGGTGGAGAATCGCTTGAGCTCAAGAGTTAGAAACCGCCTGGGCAACATAACAGGACTTCATCTGTATTTAAAATAAAAATAAAAAATAATTGTAAATGTAGGCTTAGTGATGTAAAACATAAATAAACTTCAACTTACCTAGATCTGGCCATTAATATTCTTAGCCTCTGCTGCAGCATCAGGAGTTTAATCATATTTCAAAATACCATGTTTTCTTTGTTTGCTGATTTAACCTAAAAACAGAAGAAAAACATTGAGAATTTCTCATTTCTAAAGAATAATATTCCTTATGAGCTTTCTGGCAGCACAGTTAGTTCAGTTAATCTATTTAAACAAACTCAAAAGTCTAAAAGATTGAATAAAAAGTATTTAACATATAACATCAATTTTAAAAAGTAATATAATATGCACATGTTATCATTCTTTTTCAGAAGAAAAAGTAAAAATGTGATAGTCTAAGTTCTATGATGTTTCTGGCTTCTCTACTACAGCGATAATACTTGCACAACTCACTTCTCTATACTTATCTCCATAGCTGTAAAATGAGGGGTTAGATTAAACCACCTCTAAGGTTCCATTCCACCTCTAAAAACCCATTTTGGCCAGTAGCAGACTAATTCTCCATCCCCAGTGACATTTCCTAAACCTCACTCACCATAATTCCTCTTGAAGAGCTGACTGTCTTCAAAATCCATCCCCCATATCTTCCTATTCCACAAGACCCCTCCAAAACCAGTTCAGAAAAATCAGTAAATCAGAAAATCAACAGTATGAACAAGCATGCCACAGAATCACAGAACAGTGACATTACAGTGATAAATTACAGTCCAGAGTTACAAGAGATTTCAATGTATTTTTGAAAAATTTCTGGTCAATTTATTTACCCTTCACAGCACAAAAAAACTCAAACTCACTCAAACAGGGACACTAAAATTTACTGAAAACCTACTCTGTACCAGGCATTTTATTAGGGGTTATGGGAATAGTCTCATTTTAATCTACATATTAACTAGAGAATATGATTGATAGCCAAAATGAACATTTCCAAAACCATGTACCCACAGTCAACAATTTCAACTCTGAACTTCAAATGCAACAATTTCAACTCTGAACTTCAATTTTATATATAAAATCAGCATGCCAGGTGTTGGCTTACACTCCTTGTGAGATGCTGCTACATCTCACTTTAAGGTGGGTGGCAATCCTGTCCCTCTTCTTTATTAACCCTTTCTTTTCTCCAGGAGCTCAAATATACGCCATGCTTTATCTCTGGCTTGGAAAACTGCCCAGGGCTGAACTAATTCTACCATAAACCACTTCTTTTAGGTGAATATATACTCTCTTTGCCCGACTCTTTTAAAATGTATTCTAGGGGACTTTGGCCAATTAAGTCAGAAATATCTCTATTCCTCTCATTCTTCATTCCACTTATAAGCATTCTGCAACCCTTATCCTGCAATGAATTTAATGACTGCACATAAAATTAAGAGAAATGATAGTGATCTACCTATTAACTATCAATGAAAAGTCATAAGCTTTGAAATGAAGTTAAACATATTAAAGAATCAGTGTACCAACTCATTAAGCTCTTAAAAACATTATATATAACTGCATTGACTATGATACTTAGTAAAAAAGAAAACAATTTTACCAAGAGGCTAAAAATTACACTAAATGCTGTCTACCACCACCCTATTTTTCTATAGCAAACTAATTTACCTTACTGTATGCCACACATAGAGTCATTTGGATTATCTCATTTAATCCAAACAACCAATCAGGTACATACTACCATTATTTCTGTGTTCCAAATAAGGAAACCAAGGCTTAAAAGGGTTAGGTAGCTTTCCCAAGGTCAAGAACTTATCAGAAGGGCTAGACTTAAATTTTGATCTGACACCAAAGCCCAATCACTTATGAATTAATACACGCAAAAATCTTAAAACAGTGTTTAACATATAGTAAGCACTAGTACATGTTAGCTGTGAAAACAACAATACTTTGTTATTTTACAATGCTGCATGCCTTTGACCGTCAGTCAACCTTTCTGTGCCTACATTCCCTCATTTGTAAGATTAGGACACCCACTTCACAGAGCTACTATGAAAACCAAAAAAAACTCTGGATATAAAGATATTTCGAAAATTAATAGCATTTTAAAAGACAAGGCATTATTATATCACCATTACAGGTAAAATTCTGTCTCTTATTTCACAAAGAACACGTTTGCACTGTAAGCACAGAAAATCTAGAACTTAAGCACATCCTTATAACAAGTATTACATTAATAAATTTAGTAAAGCTGTCCTAAATTATTCCAAATATGATTCTTGCAGAATGACATGGAAAGAGAACACTGAACTCTATTCACAAGTATGATTATAAATTTGGTGCTTAGGAAGGTATATGTGCTCTTTTGGTTCACTAGCAATGAGGGGGAATTTGGCTTATACTACAGTAATTTTGTTCAAATACAACCAGGAAAGAATGTCTATAGTTAGAAGCATAGCAACATAACTAAATTTTGGGCACAGAAAACTGCCATGTTTTATTATATTAAAACAATCAAGAGGATGGCATTCAAAAACTGTGTTGTGTCCACGGTCTGGTTGTTTTTTTTTTTTTAAACCATTGGGTAGGTCTTTTAATATACACATTAATTTCCTGTTAATTCTTAACACTGACAAAGATTTCTGAATTATTTATATTATTCTGAAAAAGAAGAGTTAAGAAAAAAAGCTAAGGAGGGGAGATTCTCAGTACAGTCTGCTAGTTGCCTTAAATCAGAGCCATTATGTCAAAAGCAAGGACATCTGCAACAGTTCCCTTGTTAGGTGAAAATTTAAAGCACACACCTATACACAAAACTACAAAGGTACGTGACTATTTTTAAGCATCCATCCATGAATATGGTTGTATTTGCACATTCCTAAACAGATCTTTCTTTAGTTTTTTTTTAATCTGAGGGCAATGTTGATGAACTGCTTCATAATTCATAACCCTCCACTCACCCCCTCTTTTTAACTCTTGAAAAAAATCAATTACATTACTTACAAATCACTTCAATATCTGGTACCTTAATTTCTGGCAATTATATCTAATCAAAATTCCCTGAACTGCAGTTTAAACCAGATTCCTCTCATTTCTCTATAAAACATAAGTAAAACCAGTATGATCAAGAAAGATTAAGCATATGCTTATGTATATTTAAACTGTCATCAATTCACTTTTCTGTGGATAAATCTAAAATATTAATAAAGTGGCATTTCTTTTAAGATGGGTCTATGTTGCCCGGGCTGGTCTCGAACTTCTGGGCTCAAGCAATCCTCCCACTTCAGCCTCCCAAAGTGCTGGGATTACAGGTGTGAGCCACTTTGCCCAGCCTAAAGTGGCATTTCTTTATTTCAGGCATAGTTGCTTGAATTAAGCTAACAAAAGGTTACTTAGTAGATAAAAATGATTTTTAAGCAACTATCAACATTAAAGAGAAAATTAAACAATGAATTAATTCATTTCCCTATCCATACACTGAGGCATTCTACCACGTATTTTCTGAGCACCTATTCTGTGTGTCAGGCACTGAGTTAAGTGCTAGAAATAAAGATAAAGGACACATTCCCTGACTCCAAGGAGCTTACTGTCTAGTGGGAGAGACAGACAAGAAAATGAGTATGTGGCAGAACTGCAGACCCATGTGCTGGTGCTATCAAAACATTCAATACAGAACAGAAGGAAAGACAGAAATAGCATCAAAAAAGTCTCCCTGGGAAAGCTGGTCCCTATACTGAGTCCTGAAAGGTGGATGGGAGTTAGCTAGGGCAGGGGCAATCCAGATTAAGAAGAAAGCATGCAAAACCCCCCAAACCTAAAACAACACGGCCTCCTCCAGGAGAACCAGGTAGTTCCTTAGAGCTGGAATGTAGGGTGTTCATGGGAAAATATTAGGAGATAGGTAGGAAAGAAGGCACATGGCCATTTCACCAAGGGTCAGTTCGTACTACTGAGGGTAATTCACATTTCCCCTTAAAATCTTACATAAACCACTAATGTCCTACCAGAATACTTTCCCATGGAGGCAGAAAATTGAGATTACATACAAGAAGAATTTAACTTAACATTGGTAAGAAAACAATTAATAGTGTTTTACTGTCTGTGATGTCCAAAGTCTAACCTTCAAGGCACAACATCCATTTATAAACATTCCCCCGACAGCAACTGGACTTGCAGTGTCACTGTACAATGACCTGAACGTCAGATTCCCTCTTCCCTTCTAGACCCAGAAAACTCACACACTTTAACCCCATATCTCACAGTGAATCTGACAAAGTCCCTTTTAATCATGTATTTTGTTTTTTAGGAACAGAAATCCAACAATATATATATAGAGATTCATTTGTTTGTGTGTAAAACAACACACACACACATATATATAAAACAATTTTGTGTGGGTATTTGGCAAATACTAAGAAAATGTTACTAAAATAGTTTGCTAAAAAACTAGCTTTTTAAAAAAAGAAAAAGCTAAAATGGAAGATGATACAAAATACTATCTCTACCTTTAGTAGTGTTGGTCATAACTCTATCCTGGAGTCATTGTTAATCTTGGTACGTATCTATAGGAAGAAACACTGGTGATGAAATTTAGACAATTAAATTGGAGCGCCCATAATGTCTGCCCTAAGATATGTGCAAATCCAGCAGATGAGTCACTCTGTCTTAGCTAATTCAATAAGGTCATTAGTACCAAGGGCAACAATCCTAGCGTGCATGCACCTGCGCGCGCGCGCGCGCGCACACACACACACACACACACACACAATCAACCTTCAGAACTCTCAAAGAAACTCTTAGTTTAGTATAAAAACATATACAGGGAAATCAAATACCATCCTCTAGCAACACCAAAAGGATGAACATTCTATATGAGCAATCACACAGCTCTCTCCACTAAAAATTCACAGATCGCACCACAGAAAGCAAAGGTGTGTGCTTTTAAGGTAGCAGTAAGAAAGTAGAGGTACTCTCTAGAAAACGATTATCATTAACTCTGAAAATCTGAATGAATAGATTTGATCTCATAGAGTCAGTGCATTCAGTTTTCTGTAAACATTGTAGATCAAAATTCCATGTTTTTATTCTTTAGCTCAGTGATAATTTCTATGTATTAATCTTACAACTGTGTCAAATTAATAAAGGGTCACTTAACCTTCATAATAAACCTCTAGTTTAGAAATTTACTAATAAACACTAATCCCTTAGCAGGGACAGAACTCTAGCATAATAAATACTTAACTTATGAAAAACACATATATAAAATCTTTAACCCAATACCCATTTACTAAAAAATACTGTGAAATTCAAAGGAATTGTTATTTCCCAAATAAATGCCAAGTTGTTCTTAATGTAATCACTGAGTAACTTAAAATCAATTCAGTTTTTTCTATTACACTCATGTTTATAGACAATGAAGTTTTTACTAAACTGAGCAACTGTAGGAGGTAAAACCACAGTACGAATTTTATAATATTTTCCTTAATATGGTATACCTAATAGTTCTTAAAAAGCATTTGGCTTCATGGCTTTATTTTTTAAAACAACAAAATTTAAATCCAAGTCACTCTAATTTCAAGATTCATGTTAAATACACGAACTAATATTATTCAAACCATAAACATCAATAAAACACTAAAAGACACGTAAGAAAATCCCTAGGCATCTTCACTTTTTATATATGATACTTTAACCTAGAACTAAATAAACATTAATGTTGGATAACAGAAAAGTAAGCAAAAGCTGGTCACGATGGCTCACGCCTGTAATCCCAGCACTTTGGCCAAGGCAGGCAGATCACTTGAGGTCAGAAGTTCAAGACCAGTTTGGCCAACACAATGAAACCCCGTCTCTATACAAAAATTAGCCGGGTGCGATGGTACATGCCTGTAGTCCCAGCTACTCAGGGGACTGAGACATGTGAATCGCTTGACCCTGGGAGGTGGAGGCTGCAGTGAGCTGAGATCTCGCCATTGCACTCCAGGCTTGGTAACAGAGTGAGACTTAAAAAAAAAAAGAAAGAAAGAAAGAAAGAAAAGTAAATTAAAAGATATTTTTCAAAACTGAATATAGAAATGTATAAGCACAATTTACTATAAATCTGTATTTCCAAACTCAGTTGGATATGATGTTACTAGACTAATATTAAAAGTCTAAATATGGGCCAGGTGTGCTGGCTTACGCCTGTAATCCCAGTACTTTGGAAGACTGAGGCAGGAGGATTGCTTGAGGCCAGGACTTTGAGACCAGCCTGTGCAACATAGCAGGACATCATCTCTAATTTTTTTTTAAAGTCTAATATTGACTATGTGCACATGAAATGTGTATACCATGTGTACACCGCCCCCCCCCCCGCCACACACACACTGATCAAAAGAAGCTATGCCAAATGCCAAGCAACTATAACCCCCAAAACAAACTGTTTCACAAATAGCTCATTTAAATGTTTCTGCATTTAAATCAACCTAAAATATTGTTAAATATATTCTCAAAGAAAACTAAATTTGCCTATTTATTCTCTACTTCTAGAGCAGTGCACTCAAAATAACTGTTACAATCTAACACACCCGATTCAAGTATCCCACTAATAAAAATGTTTGTTCTGTATAGTCATCCCTTGGTGTATCTGGGTATTGGTTCCAGTGCCTCTGTATGGACCAAAACACGTGCACACTCAAGTGCCACAGTCATCCCTGTGGAATCTGTGTGTATGAAAAGTCAGCCCTTTGTATATGGAAATTTCGCATCCCACAAATACTTTCTGGTTGACAAAATCCATCTATAAGTGGATCCATACGGTTCAAACCCTGTGTTGTTAAAGGGTCAATTGTATATACGTTTTGTAACATTCCCCCTCATGAAATGCCAACAACAAAAAGTTTACCAGAAAAGTTTGCATCCGAGCACATCTATCCCTGTGATTAACTTTTATAGAGCTCTTAAAATAAGTATTGTTCAAAAGCTATTTAATGACAAAGACAAAATGTTCATGATATAAAATTAAGTATAAGAAAAAAGGGCTGGGCACAGTGGCTCATGCCTGTAATCCAGCACTTTGGGAGGCTGAGGCGGGCAGATCACCTAAGGTTAGGAGTTTGAGACCAGCCTGGCCAACATGATGAAACCCCCATCTCTACTAAAAATACAAAAATTAGCCAGGCATGGTGGCACATGCCTGTAATCCCAGCTACTCGGGAGGCTGAGTCAGGAGAATTGTTTGAGCCTGGGAGGCAGAAGTTGCAGTGAGCTGAGATTGCGCCACTGCACTCCAGCCTGGGTGACAGTGAGACTCCGTCTCAAAAAAAAGAAAAACGAAAAAAGGTAAAAAAAAATATTATTAAAAAAAATAAAGCTGGGCTGAGCACGTGGTTCACACCTACAATCCCAGCACTTTAGGAGGCCAAGTAGGGAGGACTGCTTGAGCCCAGGAATTCAAGATCAGCCTGGGCAACTTAGTGAGATCCTGTCTCTACAAAAAAAAAAAAAAAAAGTTAGCTGGGCGTGGTGGCGAATGCCTGTAATCCCAGCTACTGGGGAGGCTGAGGTGAGAGGATCGCTTGAGCCCAGGAGGCCAACAGTGCAGTGAGCTGTGATCATGCCACTGCACTCTAGCCTGGGCAACAGTGTAAGACACTGTCTCAAAACAACAACAAACCACTAAATGCAATATGTATCCCTAGGTTGGATCCTGGAACAGAAAAAGAACATTAGAAAAACAGAAGAAATGTAAATAGTCTGTAGTTTAGTTAATAGTATTGTACTAGTATTAATTTCTTAGTTTTGACAAATATGTCACGGTTATGTAAGATGTTAACATTAGGGGAAGCTAGGTGAAGGGTATATGGGAATCTCTGTACTATCTTTGCAACTTAACATTCTAAAATTATTCTACAAAATTTTATTTTAAAAGTTGCTCTTCACACCCAGTAGCAAACTTGAGAGGATTTGCATTTTTACAAAATAATGTTTTACACCTATTTTTCTCTCCCCTACCTCCACATAAAATACATAAACCCACAAAAAGAGACTAGATGAACACACCCTAAAATGTTAACACTGATTAATTTGGTGGTAGAATGAAAAGGATTTTTTCTTTTTATGTTTTCTAGTGTTTGAATAGCTTTTATAATCAATGAATTATTAACTAAAGAAAATACAAATCAATACTTACTGAAGGGTTCTTTAGAAACAAAAGCTGTAAGTGTCTAAGCAGAGCCCAAAAGCAGACTACATACAAAACACGTTTGGGCAGACTGTGAAGAACACAGTGGCCAAGGGAAACTGCCAGGAGCATTTAAGTAGGGAAACTCTAATGAGTAAATGCTGGAAACCTGCCAACAAGCAGAACTTAACATCTACTCTCAGGTTAAAGTGCCTGAGGCCAACAAGCTATGCTCAAAATTCACATCTTAGGGGAATGAATGTCTTGAAAAGCCCCCAATACTATGAATTCATGGAGACACACAGCCTGGGTTTACTTCAAACATAAATAATGCAGCTGGACACCTGGTATGCAACTGCCCACTGAGAACTCCTAGAGACAGTCTTCAGTACCACAATATGTTCCCAAAGTTTTTCTTCCCTACTTCTTTCCTAACACCTCCCTACCACCTACGCCCATTCCTTAGCCCTAAGGCCTAAAAATGGCACCCTGGTGCCATCTAGCAACATGGGTAGAATTATCTAGGTCTAGAGACCACTGGAATTACAGAATCAAATCCTATTTCAGATGTGTAACAGATGCCTCCCAAAAGTTGTTTTTTTTTTTCCTGATACTTTCAAGGAAAAATACGTTCTAGTAATTCCATTAAGCCATAAGAAGGGAAAATTTAATCAACAATATTCTCCAATCAAAATTTAAAGGTACAATCATATTGTCCCTTAAAGAAAGTGCTAGTGGAATCAGATTACATTTTGATAAGAAATTTCTTCTAAGCTGTAATCAGCGTAACTGACATAGGTTGCAAGCTCCTCCTAAAATAGCTCCAAGTGGGCCAGGCGCAGTGGCTCATGCCTGTAATCCCAGCACTTTGGGAGGCTGAGGCAGGCGGATCATGAGGTGAGCAGTTCGAGACCATCCTGGCTAACACAGTGAAACCCCGTCTCTACTAAAAATACAAAAAATTAGCCGGGCGTGGAGGTGGGCGCCTGTAATCCCAACTACTCGGGAGGCTGAGGCAGGAGAATCTTGTGTACCTGGGAGGCGGAGGTTGCAGTGAGCCGAGATTGTGCCACTGCACTCCAGCCTGGGCAACAGAGTGAGACTGAGACTCCGTCTAAAAACAAAAACAAAAACAAAAACAAAAATAGCTCTAAGTGGCCTGTTCTGAGTTTTGTGTTATTTTTAAAAAATAATTTTTAATTATTTGTTTATGGGTCACTCATTCTCAGCACAAAGTACAGTAAGTCCTAGAACCACCACTTAATAAACATTTATATGCATTCCTTTTTAGTTTACTTTTTTTTTTTTTGAGATGGAGTCTCGCTCTGTCACCCAGGCTGGAGCGCAACAGTGCGATCTTGGCTCACTGCAACCTCTGCCCCCTGGGTTCAAGCAATTCTCCTGCCTCAGCCTCTCAAGTAGCTGGAATTACAGGCATGCGCCACCACGCCCAGCTAAGTTTTGTATTTTTAGTAGAGACAGGGTTGCACTATGTTGTCCAGGCTGGTCTTGAACTCCTGACCTCAGATCTGCCCACCTCAGCCTCCCATAGTTTACTCTTTTGAATCCCTGTGGACTCTGTAATAAGATACCTAGGATTAACTTAATGAACTACAAAATAAGACACTACACTCAGAGGCAAAGGGATCTTGTAAGTTTAAGTACCTGGCCTTTACTTCATGAGTTCTGTAACAGTGATTTTAAGCATCAGAAGCCTTTGTTTCTTACTTTCCAGTTCTTGGTTGTGTTTAAGAAAGTAGAGGCTACCTACCAAAAAAGTGATCCTCAGGTATGGTGGTCACTGTACTGTTATTGTTGTTATTTTGAATATTAATAGACATATATCCTGTTTTTAATCAAAGCTGAGACATGATTTTTTTTTTTTTTTTTTTTTTTTTGAGACGGAGTTTCGCTCTTGTTGCCCAGGCTGGAATGCAATGGCATGATCTTGGCTCACTGCAACCTCCGCCTCCCAGGTTCAAGCAATTCTCCTGCCTCAGCCTCCCGAGTAGCTGGGATTACAGGCATGCACCACCATGCCCGGATAATTTTGTATTTTTAGTAGAGACGGGGTTTCTCCATGTTGAGGCTGGTCTCGAACTCCTGACATCAGGTGATCTGCCCGCCTTGGCCTCCTAAAGTGCTGGGATTACAGGCATGAGCCACCGTGCCCGGCCAGAGATGACTGATTTTAAGACTGATATTTTATATACCACTGAGAAAGAAAAAAAGTCAATTTAACTGTAATATGCCACTAATTGTAAGACACACCCAAATTTTAGTGAATAAAATTGGAAAATGTTTCTTAGGATCCATAAAACATGCCATACAGTCAATGAAAGAACTATCAACACATTACAAATAACAGAAATGAAAAGTTGTTTGGACCATCTTTTCTTTACTCCTTCCCAGATGTTGAAGATAGTTACTATCAAGTGGTAGGATTCCAGAGCATCCACGACTGATGTGATGTTCTTTTGAGCCCTTCTTAAATACTGATCTAAAAAACAATCTCATAATGCAGACTGCTGGGAACTATTTTCCCCATTTTTCAATAGGGAAATGAAGGTGAAGAAATCAATCAAAATTTTACTAGAAGCCAAATTTAGAATGTTCAGTTTTCCTCTCTACCACATTAACAAAGCCAATATGCATCCTTCCTCTAAAGGTTTCATGGTCTGCTTTCCTTCATATTTATCTGGATCTTAATTTAAACATATATCAATCTTCCATGGTGAAGGTAATTCTGAAGAGCCACATTCATAACTACACTTGAGCTCATCCCTCTGAAAACAACTTACAATAACATATAATTACTGGTAGTTGGGTTTGTTTGTTTGTTTGTTTTGAGACAGGGTCTCGCTCCATTGCCCAGGCTGCAGTGTAGTGGGGCGATCAAAGCTCACTGCAGCCTTAACCTCTTGGGCTCAAGTGATCCTCCCGAATCAGCCTCCCAAAGTAGTTAGGACTACAGGCGTATACCACCACACCCAGCTAATTTTTTAAATGTTTTGTAGAGACAAGGTCTCACAATGTTGCCCAAGGGGTCTAGAACTCCCGGCCTCAGGCAATACTCCTGCCTCGGCCTCCCAAAGTGCTGGGATTTGAAAGCAACTTTGAGAATATTTCTTTCTTCCTTTCTTTTTTCTTTTTTTTAAAGACACATGTGAAGAGAACAAATCTCAACAAAAAACAGCTGAAATTTCTAAGAAGATGTTTTATTCCGTCATACTCTCAAAATGTTTCTTCACCAATACTGGCTGAAAAGCTGTGTACTTTAAATAATCTTTTTAAAAAGACTTAGAATTATCTTTGAAAGGTCTTTGAACTTAATTCAACAGCTACAAAGAATATTGGTTTCCTATAATTATGTACATAAAATACTCATGTTGAAGCCTTAAAGTTTTAAATTTTCCACATGTAAATTACAAAACTGTATTCCCAGAAATGATTCATCCTTCTAAATAGAAAGTGCAGTATGGCTCAGGTGAGGTTTTAATCCTCATGTAATTGACAAATGGCATACAATATCTCTGCTATCTAAATGTACTTTAAACACTACATTAGAATTTAAAATGAAAGGCTTTGGTGGTATTGTATGTTTTGAGACAGGTCTTGCTCCACCGCCCAGGCTGGTATTATTGGAGATAATGTCTTCTGGAGAAATTTAGAATGCTAAAAACAAAGCCTTTCATTTTAGACTTAGTTAAAATATGTAAGACACTAGAGAGATCTGAGTTCTTACTTAACTTCTCTGAATCTGTATTTCCTCACAGGTTGAGTTAAAAATATTTCCTACCAACACTCCCTACACTTCATATGGTTTTTGCAGGTTTGGAAGTGGTTGTTGCATGCAATAACTATGAGGACTGAATTAAGTTACTAAACAATGAAGATGGAAAAAAATAAAAGGATGGATTAGAGTGATACTTAAGTGCTAGCCTTAATAACACCTGATGATTGATTAGACTGGGAAGGAAAGCAGGAGTCAAGGAAAATACATTTTTAGTTGAGGTTGACAGTACATACATTGAGCCAGGGAACATAGGAAGGACACAAGATTTAGAAAAACATAAGCTCAGTTTTGAATGTACTTTGATGTCTGTGAGACATCCAAATGGAGATGCTCAACAAATAGAAATACAGGTGTGGAGATGGGAGAGAGATTTGGGAGCCATCAACTTACGGATCCAAGCATACGGACAGATGAGACTGCCCAGTGTGAAGAAAAGTAAGACCTACAGCAGCTCAGAAACACCAACATCTAAAGGAATTGTGAAAAAAGCCCACAAGGAGACTGGACATTCACTCTCCAAGAAACAAGAGGACAACCCCCAAGAGTGTGGTATCACAGAAGCCTAGGGGAAGACTGAGGCAAGGTGAGATGGGACAGAAAGAACACTGTTGAATCAATAAGGTAAGACTGTAGAAACCAGTGTGGAGAAGAAAATATTTAGCAATATGGAAGAGCAGAACAGAGACAGACAATTGTCTTCAAATTTCCATCTTATGGAATAATAGGCTTGATTTGCTCCTGAAATAGGAGACAGACCAAACCACAGAAGTCTATGCAAATGGAACAAACTTCTATCTGCCCAACAAAGAACTGAGTTCCCTTTAAATGCTGAGTTCCCAATCACTGACAGTGTTTCAGTAGAGTCCATTACTGGTTAAGAAGTGTGATGTTGTCTCTAAAAACAAAATGAATTAAATACGCAAAATTAACCACAACAAAGTTAGACGTGATGATTTGAGCTTTTTTTTCAATTGAAATAAATTTCAAGGACTAAACTAAATCTGAACTACTTTACATTAAAGGGAACAAAAAGACACAACAAAACAGCTTTTAAATACTTAAATATAAAGCATATTTCTTAAGTTATTATTTCTGAAGTTATAAAATATTATATTCAATTAATTCTAAGTAAAACACATAAAAAAGATAAAAAGCATTTTTAACTTTGTAAGTCCAAAGTAAAACATTTAATATGATATAAAACCTCTAAAGACTTCACGAAATTTTATGGTTGATTTTTAGCTGTACTAATTCTGTTTAATGTCATTAAAACCTACCCAACTGAGTTTTTATAACTTTCTACCACTAAATAATTATGTTCTTCATTTCTCTATTTTTAAACTTGAAGCACATAAGTGTATTTGTTTGTTTTAAGGTAGGGCTTAAAAGTTATCTGTAATGCTGTATATTTTCCATTTGACCCTCCAAAGCCACTCTCTTACCTTCTCTACTCTACTCTGCACCCTAGGAGCCTCACCTGCATGGAGGCACCAGCAGACCAGATTGGCTGTGGTTCCCTTCCTTACTGAGGTTCTAGTAATGGCCCCTGTTAGGCAGCTCTCTCACATACTTATAGCTCTTGCTGATTCAGGTAACCACTTCTTCTCTCTGTCCCCTTTTGGACACCTAGGAGTGTTAAGAGCTGTTCCTAACAGCCTGGTGTTCCCAGCAAACCTGGCCAATATCACTTGCTGATTTCCCTTAACCTGCCCATAATGTGTAACTAATCCCTTTATTAAATTCTTTTCCATTACAGGGTTCCTGCCAGAACCCTGATTTAAGCAGCTGTTACTGATGTTTTCAATACAGTAATTATATATTACACTATAATCAGTGGAAAAGATACCTTATGAGAAAAGAACCACGATCAACAGCTTTTACATTTCTTAGTCAAACCAACTAAACTCCTAAGAATCAAAAATAAAAGTTACCAACCTAAAAATGTTTGAGAAGGAATTACTTACACATTTCATTAAGATTAATATCCAAAAATCTTGCAGTCATCCTTCACACCTTACTCTCTCACATCCCATATCCAATCCATCAATCCTTTCAGATGTATCTTCAAAATATATCCAAGTTCAACTACTGCTTACCATTTCGAAACTATTACTTCTCTGGTCCAAGTTACCAACATTTCTTTATGAATTTTTCCAACAGCCTTCTAATTGGTCTTTGCCTCTGATTGTCCTGCTCTAGTCTTTTATCAACACAGCAACCAGATTAATTCTGTTAAAAAGTATTAATACAGGAGCTTGGTGCAGTGGCTTACGCCTGTAATTTCAGCAACTCGGGAGGCTAAGGTGGGTAGATCACTTGGGGCCAGGAGTTTAAGACCAGCCTGGGCAACATCGCAAGAACCCATCTCTAAAAAATAATAATAAAAAAAACTTAGCCAGATGTGGTGGTATGCACCTGTAGTCCTAGCTACTTATTTATTAGGAGGCTGAGATGGAAGGATCCCTTGAGCCCAGAAGTCAGAGGCTGTGTGAGCCATGACTGTGCCATTGTACTCTAGCCTGGGTGAGAAAGCAAGACCCTGACTCACAAAAAAAAAAAAAAAAAAAAAAAAAAGTATTAATGGATACATTTTTCTAAAAATGGTAAAATTCATGACTTTGAAAAAACAGTAAAACAAACATATGTCAAAGATACAATTTAACTCATTAATAATGGAATTAGTAACATGTTACAACTGGTTCGGAACATTCCAAGAACTACACATACACAGGGAATAAGGAGTTCTGAAAGAAATTTACAAATAGATGCAAAACAGGCATATTCACAGGGCAGTAATCAACTGCATTCCACTGGGTATAATTTATATTTATTTCTATGAATAAGATTTAATTGCATTTTCTACTTTTTTATTGTGGTAAAATACACATAAAATTTACCATCTTAACTATCCATCATCCATCTCGTAATTCTTTTTTTCTTTTTGAGACAGGGTCTCACTCTGTCAACTAGGCAGGAGGGCAGTGATGTGACCATAGCTCACCTGCAGCCTTGACATCCTAGGCTCAAGGGATTCTCTCATCTCAGCCTCTCAATTAGCTAGGACCACAGGTACATCCCACCACGTGCAGTTAACTTTTTAATGTTTTGTAGAGGCGAGGTCTCACTATGTTGCCTAGGCTTCTTTTCATCTTGTAAAACTGAAACTCCACGGCCGTTAAACAGTAACTCCCTCCTCCCCCTATCCCCTGACAAAACCATTCTACTTTCTCTCTGATTTTGACTATACTACCTCCTTCACATAAGTAGAATCACATAGCATTTGTCTTTGTGTGACTGGCTTATTTCACTTTGCATAATGTCTTCAAGGTTCATCCATGTTGTAGCATATTACAGAATTTCCTTCCTTTTTAAGGCTGAATAATATTCCACTGCATGTATATACCACATTTTACTTATCCATTCATCTGTCAATGAACACTTGGGTTGCTTCCACCTTCGGCTACTTTGTACAAATAGATATGGGTGTACAAATACCTCAAGACCCTGCCTTCAGTTCTTTTGGGTATACTCAGAAGTTGAATTGCTGCATCATATGGTAATTCTGTTTTTAATTTTTTGAGAAACAGCCATACTCTTTTCCACAGAAACTGTACCATTTTATATTCTCACCGACAGTGCATAAGGTTTCCAATTTTTCCACGTCCTCACCAACATTTGTTACTTTCTATTTTTTAAAAAATAGTAGCCATCCTTGGCCAGGTGCAGTGGCTCACACCTGTAATCCCAGCACTTTGGGAGGCTGAACCAGGTGAAACTTGAGGATAGGAGTTCAAGACCAGCCTGGACAACAGGGTAAAACCCCATCTCTACTCAAAATACAAAAATTAGCCGGGCATGGTGTCACATGCTTGTAATCCCAGCACTTTGGGAGGCCAAGGTGAGCAGATCACTTGAGGCCAGGAGTTCAAGACCAGCCCAGGTAACATAGCAAAACCCTGCCTCTAATAAAAATACAAAAATTAGCCAGGTGTGGTGGTGCACACCTATAGTCCCAGCTACTTGGGAGGCTGAGACGTAAGAATCACTTGAATCTGGGAGGGGGAGGTTGCAGTGAGCCGAGATCACACCACTGCGCTCCAGCCTGAGCAATACAGCGAGACTCTGTCTCCAAAAAAAAAAGTAGCCATCCTAATGAGTGTGAGGGTAGTATCTCACTGTATTTCTGATTTGCATTTTTCTAATAATTGGTGATGTTAAACATCTTTTCATATGCTTACTGGCCTTTGTATATCTTCTTTGGTGTAATGTCTATTCAAGTCCTTGGCCCATTTTTAAATTAGTTTTTGGTTTTGAGTTTCAGAAGTTTTTTCTTGTATTGTCTGTGCCTTTGGTGTTACATCCAAGATACCACTGCCAAATCCAATGTCATGAAGCATTCGCCCTACATTTCCTTACAAGAGTTGTATACTTTTGATTCATTTTAAGTTAATTTTTGTATATGGTGCTAGGTGAAGATCCAACTCCATTATTTTGTATGTAGATATCCAGTTTCTCCAGCATCACTTGTTGAAGAGACTGTTCCTTTCCCATTGAATAGTCTTGGCACCCTTGTCAAAAATTATTTGACCATATATGCAAGTGTTTATTTCTGGGTTTTTGTTTTTGTTTTTTTTTTTTTTTTTTTTTTTGAGACAGGGTCTCACACTGTCGCCCAGGCTGGAGTGCAGTGGCACGATCTCAGCTCACTGCAACCTCCATCTCCTGGGTTCAAGCAATTCTCCTGCTCAGCCTCTCGAATAGCTGAGATTACAGGCGTCTGCCACCACACCCAGCTAATCTTTTGTATTTTTAGTAGAGACAGGGTTTCAACATGTTGGCCAGGCTGGTCTTGAACTCCTGACCTCATGATTCACCCACCTTGGCCTCCCAAAGTGCTGGGATTACAGGTGTGAGCCACAACATCGGTCTATTTCTGGGTTCTCTGCTCTATTCCATTGGGCTATATGTCTGCCTAAATTTATGCCAATACCATGCTGTTTGATTACTGTAGCTTTGTAGTTAAGTTTTTAAATCAGGAAGTGTGAGTCACCAGCTTTCTTCTTCTTTTTCAAGATTGTTTTAGCTATTGAGAGTCCCTTGATATTCCATATGAATTGCAGAATGGGCGTTTCTAATTTTGCAAAACTCATCATTGTGGTTTTGATAGGAATGGCATGATTCTGTAGATTATTTTTAGTATTCACATCTTAACAATATGAAGACTTCCAATCCATGAAAATCAGATGTTTATCATTTATTTAATTTCTTTGAGCAATGTTTCATAGTTTTCATTGTAAAAATCTTTCACTTCTTTGGTTATTTGTATTTTATTCTTTTTGATGCTATTGTAAATGAAATTGTTTTCTTAATTTCTTTTTCATATTGTTGTTAGATGAAAATGCTGACTCTTCAGGGTTTTCTATGTACAGGATCATATCATCTATAAACAGAGACCACTTTACTTCTTTCCAATTTGGATGCCTTTTCTTTTTCTTGCCTAATTGCTCTGGATGGAATATCCAGTATGATATTTAATAGAATTGGTGAAAGTGGGAATTCTTGCCTTGTTCCTGATCTTAGAGGAAAATCTTTTCAGTCTTTCACCACTGAATATGACATTCACTGTATTTTTCATATATGGCTTTTACTACGTTGAAATAGTTTCCTTTTATTTATTTATTTATTATTAATTTTTTTTCCGAGATGGAGTCTTGCTGTCACCCAGGCTGGAATGCAGTGGCATGATCTCGGCTCACTGCAACCCCCTCCTCCCGGGTTCAAGTGATTCTCCTGCCTCAGCCTCCTGAGTAATTGGAATTACAGGTGCGCACCACTATGCCCAGCTAATTTTTACATTTTTAGTAGAGATGGGGTTTCACCATGTTGGCCAGGCTGGTATCAAACTCCTGATCTCAAGTGACTCACCCACCTCAGCCTCCTCAAAGTGCTAAAATTACAGACATGAACCACTGCACCTGGCTCCTTTTACTTCTAGTTTTAGTGTTTTTTTAAATCATGAAAGAATGCTGAATTTTGTCAAATGTTTTTTCTGCATCAATTGACACAATCATGTGGTTTTCTCCCATTCATTCTTTTAATGTGTATATTACATTGAACAATTTTCATATGTTGAACCATCCCTGCATTCCAGGAATAAGACGCACTTGATCATAGTATATAATCCCACTGATATGCTGCTGAATTTGGTTTTGTTGAGGATTTTTACATCAATGTTTATGATTCAATTGCATTTTTAAGAAGTTTTCTGTTAAGTTCCAGTACTCTTAAAAAAAAAAAAAAGAAAGCCTCCCCACCCCCCCGACCCTGCCCACAAAATGAGACAGAGATAAACTCAATGGCTGAGCTAGACAGGACACCCATTTGTCATTTTTTGTCCACTTCAAAGTGGTTCACAATTTATCCTGACAAAGGCCTGCAATGGCTCCCCCTATTCCTCTGAGAATAAAAATTAAGGATTTTTCAATGGTCTCTATGAGATCCTAATTTTTTAGTATCATTTTCTGCCTCTCCTGTTCCACTACTGATCATGTACCTTAAAATTCTTCTCTCTCCATACTCTGCTCCAGCCACAGTGGCCTCCTTGCTGTTTCTAGAATACACTAATTATGTTCCTATCTCAGGTCCTTTGCAACTACTGTTCTTTGTACCTGGAATGCTTTTCTATCTGGTATCAGCATAGCTTGCTCCTTCACTTGCTTCAGGTTTTTGCTCACAAATCAATTTATTGAAGAATTTTCCTGAGCACACTACATATGAAATAGATAAACCCTTACCCACTAGCCCATGATGCTACACCCTTTTCCTCTTTCCCTACTACATCATTCTCCAAATGACTTACCACCAAGTGGCATACTACATATTGACTTGTTTTTTTATTCCCTAGCTCTTCACTCCAATGCCACCACAAAACGTAAACTCCATAGTGACAAAGATTTTGTTTTGTTCAACGAAATATCCTTGGTGCCTGAAGAATGCCAGACAGATATTAAATGCTTAATAAGTTTTAGTTGAATGAATAATCTCAGATATTGTTTAAAAATAGCAACATAAGTATTCATAAAATTTGTTCCTGAATTTCTGCAATGTGCAAACATATCAATAAAACTACAACCAAATGCTTTTACATTTTTACTTATTAACATATGTTACTTAATAGTTACTTATTGAGATGACTTGTAAAAATGGGGCTCAAAATTATCACTTAGATTTGTCTGTAAACTGACAGCTATCTCATGAAAAATATGGAATTTAAGATACAGTATCACAAAATTTCTTTTAGAAGCAATGCTACCATGTTGTTATCAATGTGAGCAAGTATACTCATAAGACTGAGGTAGTACCTGATGTTTTCCTTTTTGTACTATAGATTCAAAAACTGTCATTTGCATTATAGTTATTATAGCAGATGTAACTCCTGAAGACACTATCTAGGTAAGTTAACTGCCTAAGAGTCATTATCCAAGCCACATTATTTCCTCCAAGCTAGCTCATTCTTTGACGTTTTGCAGTCCTGGGATGAGCCTGGGTGAAGGTGAAGATACTCTAGGATTGAAACAACTGTTTATATTGGATTTCTCATCCTACAGCTTTTCCTAAGCTCTTTTAATTTCTAACATTAAAAGGTACTTAATATTAACTAGAATTTACTTTGAATATACTTGAACTATCTGCCATATGCAATTCCAACACCAACATCTTTGGTCTACTGAGTTATTTCAGCGAAAATAGAAACATGGTTACATATGGTTGGAAGGTACAAGTTTGGAACATCACAGACCAATGAAATAATGGTTTAGCTACAAACAATATTAGTTTAAATATTTTCTTTCTTTACATAACCTGATTCATTAAAAATCTGTTTGAAAAAATAAAGAATTTTAGAGCTAGTCTTTTTTCTTCTTTATACTTTTTTCCTGCATACTTTAAATAACCTCTAGATTACTTACAAATGCTATCTAAATAGTTGTTATGCTGTATTTTGTAATATTTTTTATACTGCTTTCTATTTCAAATAATTTCAATCTGTGGCTGATTGAATTTGCAGGTGTGGAACCTATGGATACGAACGACCAACTATAAATCAAAGACAAAGGCATCATGAAGTAAGGTTTTAAATTCCTCTAGTTGATAAGGCTGAACCTGTTTAAGATTGGGTCTGACAGCACGCACATTTTCACTTTTTAATTAGAATGCTGCAAATTAATATGTTTGTTATACTAAGTATGTCTGTCAGTAAAGAAAAATATTCAGAACATAACCCCCCGCCACCTATATCTGGTTGTAGAGGCAATAAATGCTCTTAATATATGGCCCTGATAATATCTGCTTTAATAATAAAAAGATAATAAAATCATCTTTCGAGTGTGTGAGGAAAAATTATTCTGAAAATGGAGAAATAACTTATTTGAAACCAGTATCTCCCTTTAAATTATAAAAAATTTGTTAGAATTACATCAAAGAATAAGAAGACTTTTTACATAAAGTTATTAGATTTATATCAAAACTACTTCCCCTGAATTACAATAATACAGTGTTACTTTTTTTTTTTTTTTTTTTTTTGAGACAGGGTCTCACCCTGTCGCCCAGGTTGGAGTGCAGTGGTGCAATCTCGGCTCACTGCAACCTCCACCTCCAGGGCTCAAGTGACCATCCTGCCTCAGTCTCCCGAGTAGCTGGGACTACAGACATATGCCACCGCATGTGGCTAATTTTTGTATTTTTAATAGTGAAGGAGTTTCGCCATGTTGCCAGGCTGGTCTCAAACTCCCAGGCTCAAGTGATCCACTTGCCTCAGCTTCCTAAAGTACTAGGATTACAGGTGTGAGCCACTGCACCTGGCCCAGTGTTACTTTTGTACCAGTAACTATACTAGAATAGACTAACTGGGCCTAATAATATTAATGCTATATTCTTTATTTTTACAGAGTAGGCCAAACACACATACACACGCTTCCTTCAGTTAAATTATACATTCTAAGGTACAGTGTCAGTATTTTCATAAGAATTTTGTTTACCCTGAAGTTTAAAAATTTGAAATATTAAAGAAGTTAAGATTTTAATAAACACAACTTTCTACCATTTGTGTGAGTAGGCCTTCAGATGGCAGCAAATGCAACATAATAAATGTTGGGCCTGTTTGTAAGAACTGGTTATCTGATATCCTCCTTTACTAAATTTTTTAAAACATGGGTTGCTCCCGGGGAAATATGCATTCAAGAGTGGGATGCGATCTAAAATCTAATAAAAGTTGCAAAGTATGTGACTTCTAGGTTTAAAAAAATTCTTGAGGGACTCAGTTTTGTGGTTTTTTAAAAAAACAAACTTCATTACATTTAGTCATCATGTCTCTTAAGGATCCTCTTGGCAGTAATGGTTTTTCAGATTTTTCTTGTTTTTGATAATCCTGACCATTTTCAGGAGCACCTGTAAAGTATTTTGTAGAATGCCTCTCCTCTCTTGGAATTTGATGCTTTTCTCATAATTAGACTGGGAGTATGGGATTTGGACAGGAGGATCACAGAGATAAAGTGCCACTTTTATCACAACATAGCCCTTGAAACACACTATCAACATGACTTATCACTGTTGATGTTACCCCTGACAACCTACCTGGCTGTCAGGTTTCTCCACTGTGAAGTTACTTCTCCCCGAACTCTTCTGCACTTCTTGGAAGTACTGTACTTCTTGGAAGAAAGGCATGCACAGCCCACACTTAAGGATTAGGGAGTTGTGTTTCACCATGAGGAAAGTGGAGTATTGACATACATTATTTGGAGTTCTTCTGTACAGATTTGTCTCTTCTCCATTTACTTATTTATTCAATCATTTATTCATTTATTCAATCATTTATTCATACCAGTATCAGCCCGTGGATATTTATTTTATACTCTGAGTTATAATTCAATACTACTTTATACTTTACTTATTTTCTTTTTCAAATTATTCCAACTTTGATCACTGTTAGCTCTTTTAGGTGACTCCTATGCCCCTTTGACATAGTCCCATTTTGTGGGTTTTTTGTTAAAGCCCTTCTTTACTTTTTTTTTTTGGCACTACAAGATGTTCTAAGCTGATCTTGTCTATTTTGTTATTTTTATTTTTTAATTTTTTTTAATTTTATTTATTTTTTTTGAGATGGAGTCTCGCTTTGTCGTCCAGGCTGGAGTGCAGTGGAGCCATCTCGGCTCACTGCAAGCTCTGCCTCCTGGGTTCATGTCACTCCTCTGCCTCAGCCTCCCTAGTAGCTGGAACTACAGGCGCGCACCACCACACCCAGCTAATTTTTTGTATTTTTAGTAGAGACGAGGTTTCACTGTGTTAGCCAGGATGGTCTCAATCTCCTGACATCATGATCCACCCGCCTCGGCCTCCCAAAGTGCTGGGATTACAGGCGTGAGCCACCACACCCAGTGTTTATTTTTATTTTTTTGAGACGGAGTCCCGCACTGTCGCCCAGGCTGGAGTGCAGTGGCACAATCTCGGCTCACTGCAACCTCCACCTCCTGGGTTCAAGTGATTCTCCTCCCTGAGCCTCCCGAGTAGCTGGGATTACAGGCGCCCGCCACCCTGCCCAGCTAATTTTTTGTATTTTTAGTAGAGACGGGGTTTCACCATGTTGGCCAGGCTGGTCTCGAACTCCTGACCTCGTGATTTGCCCGCCTTGGCCTCCCAAAGTGGATCTTGTCTATTTCTTGCCCTAGTCCTAGATTAAGCCATTTCTCCAAGGAACCCTGGTCCTTTTTAAAGGAGAAGGGTACAGATTCAGCATCCCTAACTGGAAAATTCTGAGAATTTTTGAGCACCAACATGACACCACAGGTGGAAAATTTCACACCTGACCTCACATGATGCGTGCACAAAATTATTTAAAATATTGTATAAATCACCTTCAGGCTATGTGTAAAGGCATATATGAAACATAAATTTTGTGTTTAGACTTGAGTCCCATCCCCAAGATATCTCATTATGTATATGCAAATACTTTGAAATCCAAAAAACCCCCTGAAATCCAACTGGGCACGGTGCTCACACCTGTAATCCCAGCACTTTGGGAGGCCAAGGTGGGCAGATCAAGAGGCCAGGAGTTCAAGACCAGCCTGGCCAGCATGGTGAAACCCCCATCTCTACTAAAAATACAAAAAATTTGCCAGGCATGGTGATGTGTGCCTGTAATCCCAGCTACTCGGGAGGCTGAGGCAGGAGAATCACTTGAACCTAGGAGGCAGAGGTTGCAGTGAGCTGAGATCATGCCACTGCACTCCAGCCTGGGCAACAGAGTGAGACTCTGTCTCAAAACAAAACAAAACAAAAACCTTGAAATCCAAAACACATCTGATCCCAAGCATTTAGGATAAGGATAAGGATAAGGATAATCAACTTGTATTAGAAACCAAGATTTGGGTTCTTGGTGTGCTCTTGCTACCGGGGTGTCATGGCATCTAGGAGGGCCTCTGTGTAACTAAATGTTATGTTATTTTGTGGAGAATTTGCATAACAAAATATAGAAATAAACTCATGGAGAATAGACTACGACTATGAAGTTGAAAGATTAATATAATTATAGATAGGGTATTATCACTTTTTATGAATGTGTTTTGAAAATAATGCATCTGAATAATATAAGGGAACCTAAATTTTTAAAAATATAAACTTAACACATGCCATTTTTGTTGCAAAGAGAAAAAGGTGACAAATGTATAATGTGAGGAATAAAAGAGGAAGTCCAATAGAATCCATCTTAATTCAAATGGACATGAAGTTAGTTGGATAAGGCAGGAAATTAAAACACACATACCACCCCCACACACACTCCTTACCTTAAACATTTTATTTTAGCTTAAACATATAAAAAGGCATGAATCATTTTATTTTAGCTTAAACATATAAAAAGGCATGAATCATTTTATTTTAGCTTAAACATATAAAAAGGCATGAATTTACCAAACTTAAGGCCAGGGCCTTTTTTTGTTAATGGGAGACCGCCGATTAGCATTCTGTATTATGTTTCTCATACAAACCTTACGTAAGTTGTATGTTATTTGAAATGGATCAAGGAATTCTATTTCTAGCAACATGGTAGGTTAGATGTCCAGACTGGCTCTACTGCTGGAATCTGCAATGCTTTATATATATATGTATATATATATATAATCTGCAATGCTATATATATATATATATATATATATAAAATTTGTTTTTTTAATTTTATTATTAAACATTTTCCTATTTTGGCACAAATGTAAAAAGCTACGAAAGGTGGCTCTTGACTTTAAGGTAATTTCATAATGCTGCTTAGAAAACTGCAGACTGCGGGAGACAGACTATATAGATCAAGACTGCCTTCCATACAGTTGCAAATCCCAAAATCCACAAAGTACAAATGAATGAGCAGTAAACCTACCTTGCAGAAGATGACAGCAAGTAAACTTGCCTGCTTGATCTTGATGATGGTAGAAAGAAGAAAATCTCCTGCAAGAATTTATAACTATAAGCCAGCTCTTAAATGAGTTTGTGGAGACGAAAAAGGATGAAAAGGCATAAGTAACATGAAAAATAGACTATATGTCTAATTAGAGTTATAGAAGGAGAAAATAAGAGGCATTATTCAAAGAGATAATGGTTAAGAATTTTCCACAATTATTCAAAGACATTATTATTATCCTCAGATCCAGGAAGCCCAAAGAATCCCAAGTGGGATTACAAAAAATAAAATGATGGAATGAAAAAAATAACGCCCTCAATACATTATACAAAACTGCAAAACACTAAATGGGAAGGAAAAAAAAAGGCTTAACACAGCCAAATAAAAGGGTTATTACTTACAAAGGAAGGGCAATTAAGACTTTTCAACAGCAATACTAGCAGTCAAAGTACTGGAATAATGTCTTCAATATCATGAGAAAACAGAATTCTACACACAGAGAAACTACCTTTCAAGAATGAAGATGAAATAAAGACATCTTTAAACAAAGAAAAAAGTGTCTGTTTCACCAAAGGATCTTCACTAAAGGAAATTCTAAAGAACGTACCTCAGGTAAAAAAAAAAATTATCATAGAAGAAAGGTCTCAGATCCAAAAAGGAACAATAAGCCAAGAAAACAGTAATTAGGTAAATAAATTTAAACAAAGGTTTACTACCTAAAACAGTAATTTGTCTAAAATTCTGTATGTGTGCATAAGAAGAATATGCCAAAACTAAGATAACAGACAACACTGTTACAGGTTGGGAGGAGGACAACCAGAGCATGCTAAGTTACTACATTATTCAGGAATAGGTTAAAGATACTGATTAATTGGACTTTCCTAAGAAAAGCATGTTAAAATAGCCAGAGCAACCACTAAAAGAATAAATAATATATTAATTATAAACAAGTATACATGCATGCAAGGTATGGAGAGGAGATGGAATGAGACAAATATATATGTCCAACTCAACACAAAAGACTGGCAAGAATGAGAGGAAGAATTGGATAAATAGAAAAACCACAGAAGGGGACAGAAATACACGTAAATCAGAGCTGGGCACGGTGGCTTACATCTGTAATTCCAACACTTTGGGAGGCTGAGGCAGTAGGAACACTTGAGTCCAGGAATTCAAGACCAACTTAAGCAACATAGTGGGATAACATCTCTAAAAAATTAAAAAATCAGCCCAGCACAGTAGCGCATGCCTGTGGTCCCAGCTACTTGAGAGGCTGAGGTGGGAGGATCGTTGAGTCCAGCAGATCGAGGCTAAAGGATCGTGCCACTGCACTCCAGCCTGGGCAACAGAGTGAGATCTTGTCTCAAAAAAGAAAAAAAAAAATTAAAAAAAAAAAAACTAAATCTATCGGTAACACAATTGACTAAAGTTCTCCAGTTAAAAAATAAAGATTGTCATTCAGAACAAAAATAAAACTCAACCTTATTCTATTTACAAAACTCCAATCAAAATACATGAAAAACTAAAGAATGAAAATACTGGCCGGGTGCGGGGACTCACGCCTGTAATCCCAGCACTTTGGGAGGCTGAGGCGGGCGATCACCTGAGGTCAGGAATTCGAGACTGGCCTGGCCAAAATGGGAAACCCCATCTCTACTTAAAAAACAGAAATTAGCCAGGCATGGTGGTGCACACACGTAATCCCAGCTACTCAGAAGGTTGAGGCACGAGAATTCCTTGAACCCAGGAGATGGAGGTTGCAGTGAGCTGAGATCATGCCACTACACTCCAGCCTGGGTAACAGAGTAAGACTTCGTCTCCAAAAAAAAAAAAAAAAAAAAAAAAAAAAAAAAAAAAAAAAGAATGAAAATACTACAGTAACCAAAAGAAAACTATACTAGCTATATTAATCCAAGAAAACAGCAATAACAACAATTAAAAAAAAACTGTAAGGCTAAAAGTGTGTTCAGATAGAGGGCCCTTTCATAATGATAAAAATTCAATTCAACAAACAGATAAAACAATTCTAATTCTAAATTGTTTAATTATTTTGGCTTATTATTAATGTACTTAATAGCATACATTCAAAATAAATAAAGCAAAAATTAACACATCTATAAGGAGAAACTGACAAACCCATAGCCATGGTGAGAGACATTAATTACCATGTCTTTCTTACTAGAGAAACTCATAAATCAGTCCCCAAATAAAACTAAACCCGAATCCAAAACAAAACCAAGACAGAGAAGATATGAAGAGAACAATTAACAAGTTCTTAGACATAAATATAACACTGTACTTAATAACCGAAAAAGCTGCATTCTTTCTAAATACACATGGAACATTTATAAAAATTAGCCATATTCTAGGTGGGAGGATTGCTTGAGCCCAAGAGGTCAAATTATTTGAATCCTTTCATTTCCCTCCATATTTTATAAATTAATCACTTAACAGCAATCATTTCAAAGCAAAGAGACTATCTGATTATGAAAAATAATATGATGCTCATGTAATACAGGGCTGCCACTGTTCAAGCTACTTCACATCTTAAATACATCACATTTACGCCCTCATTTAAGATCAACACATCACTGTAGGGATTAACAAAAAAGGATAAAAAACAAAAATAACACATTTCATTTAAGTATCTACATCAACGCCTGTATCTAGATCTCATTTCAAGTATTAGTAATGGTGCCCACAGTAAAATCTTAACAGCATCTCAGGTAAATGGGATGTTAGTTTGACCATTCTCACTGTCCTTGAATCATTATTTTTACCAAATTGGCTACTTATTTGTCAGATACGCCCAGAACCTATCTTTGGATGCCTTGAGGAAAAAACACTCAGTTTTTTAAAAAGAAGAAATGGAACAAGTAGACAACACATTTTTAGGAATTTCCAAATCATTCTGAAATTACAGTGCCAAAGAAATACACAATTACAAGGAACACATCATTTACTTGGGACTATTAATACTGTATATATGACTGAAAAGGATCAACTGGAAAGATGACATTTATTCCAAGATAAATAATTTAAAAAACAATAAAAATATGTATCTATCAAGCAAAATAAATTCATTGCCATTTCATCTACCATCAAAGCACCGTCCCCAACTTTAACCCCAAACACACACATACATACAAGGCAGACCTTTTTCATCTAAACTGTAAGCCTGTGGCTTACATGAAAACAAAATGCTTTTAACCACACACAAGCTCCAGCGCTCAGACTTGTAGTTTCTACATGCTGCCCACACAGCACTTTGTGAGCATGTGATTAGGAGGAATGATGCATAATCACACCACATTCCTTCCCTCAGCTCACACATCGAGAACTTGCCCTCTCAGCTGCATTCTTCTCCAAACAGCCATGGTCACCTTAGCAACCCTGTACTCCTAATATGGACAGCTGGTCCATTTAAAGTCAGTACTTCTTGGCAGGGAAAATGCTTGTTCTTCAAATTGGGGGAGAGAGGAGAGGTTTTCCTTTCAGTACACATTACAGGGGTTGATTTAACTTGATCAGCACTTTTGTTACGTGGCAGCAATTTGTGTTGAGTTTCAACCTATTCTGAATTTTGTTTTTTTGTTTTTTAATCTAAAAGCACGTAGCTGAAAAAATAAAATCAAGCCAGCTAATAAGGAACTCTAAGAGTGGAACATGAAACAAAAAGGTACCTAAAATAACTGTTCTTTTATAAACTATAAAACAATCCACATTTTTGTGTATTACGTTCAACCTCAGTTAAAATGAACTGTAACACCTGAAGCCCTAATACACAATAAGACATCAGGGTCAGAAGACCCACGTCTTTTTAATGTCATAGTGTATTTTTGAACAACAAAAAGACTGCTAAACTTCAAAGACCCATAACTCCAAGTAGACTATCAATCTGCATTTCCATATTCCACCACCTACATGTGAAATCTCTCTCAGTCTTTCCACAGGCTTAAATGTAAGCTAGGTGTAAGCCAAGTGGTTACTATTACATATCTGAAGACCCTTCAGACCTAAAATGACCTAGAATAGCACTGGATTCCTCAAAAACAATCTAAATCTCTGCCTCTAACAATAAAGCAGTGTCTGAACCAAATTAAGCCTTTTGGGACGGAAGATACTGGTTTATAATCCAGTATACCTGATTTTCACACTACAAACAAATAATTTGGCGGGGAGGGGATTACTATATTCTGAAAAACACAAGATCAAATTGCTCATTTCATCACCCCGATGAAATTCTAATTTCCCACCCATCAAAACTAGACACATAACCTTTAAGTAAACAGGCATGCTCAAAACTAGAAATATGGCCAGGCGTGGTGGCTCACACCTGTAATCCCAACACTTTGGGAGGCCAAGGCAGGCGGATCACCTGAGGTCGGGAGTTCGAGACCAGCCTGACCAACATGGAGAAACCCCGTCTCTACTAAAAATACAAAACTAGCCAGGCACAGTGGTGCGTGCCGGTAATCCCAGCTACTCAGGAGGCTGAGGCAGGAAAATCACTTGAACCCAGGAGGCGGAGGCTGTGGTGAGCCAAGATCGCGCCATTGCACTCCAGCCTGGGCAACAAGAGCAAAACACCATCTCAAAAAAAAAAAACCTAGACAACTTAAATTTATGGCATTCATTCTAAATTGGAAATACTTCTGAAATACTTTTCTATATAACAGAGGTGGACCTTCCACATTAATAAATGTTCCTTTGACTATGGCCTACAGTATTCACTGCTTATATTTTTGTCTGTATATGTGTGTTTTTTAAACTTCTCAGGCTATGAGGTTCTTCCTGGTTAGAAACAACTTCTTTCAAGTTAAGACTATCCTAGTTGTTATACCTTTTATATACAGGAAAGTATCAGCTGATAGGGTGGCAGTATAAGATTAGTAAAAGAACCTAAAGCCAATCCTACTACTGGTTTCCTCATTTGTAAAATGAGAATACTATCTATTCTATTTATGCAGTGTGGTAACACATCAAAGTAAGAATAAGAAAATTACTATGCCATACAAAAGACTCAAAATTAAAGAAACTGGAGAAAGGAACTATGTTACCTGATGTATAATTCTCTTAGTTTTTAAAAAGGATGGCGGGATTATTCAACAATGAATAGAATAACAAGTCAATATCAACTTCAGTACTTTCTGGTCTTCCCACCAAAGATCTTATAAATACTTAAGTGCTGATATATAAATTAATACTTATTTTAAAAAGCCCTAATCTTGGCTTCACTTTCAGCAGATGTGTGAATTCCCTTCCTGCTATAGTTTGAATGTGTCCCTTCTAAAATTCAGATGCTGAAATTTAATGGCCAATGTGATAGTATTAAGAGACGGGACCTTTAGGAGGTGACTAGGTAATGTGGGCTCCTTCCTCATGACCTAATTAAGGCGTTTATAAAAGAAGCTTTGCTCAGCATTAGTTTTGCTTGCCCTCCACCTTCTGCCATGCAAGGACACAGCATTCCTCCCCTCTGGAGGATGCAACCCTTACCAGACAAACAAACAAATCTACCAGCCCCTAAGAGAGCTCCTATGAACCCTCTACTCCTCCAAGTCACGTAGGCAATGTCCACTGAGTAAAAGATAAATGAGCCCCAATGGAAGAACTTTTTTCCTAAAAAGGATAAACCCACTCAATAAGCTCTGACCATGAGAAGCAGTATTTGAATTTTAAAGGTGACTACTTTTATCATTCCCTTTTATCCTAAATTCAAACAAGATGATCTGTGTCTTGCTAGCAAATTCTGACATAGTAAAACAGTGGCTAATAAATTAGTGAGAATCCCATAATAAAGAAAAGATATTAAATAAATACATGGAAACAAATTTTTAAAAATCAGGAGCAATTAAGCCTTACTCAACAATATTAGTTTTATTACTATATTTACAATTTCTTACCTTGTGGAATTCTCTTCTGAGAAAAACAGATACAATTTTGTTCCTAAAAAAATTTCAGGTAGAAAGTGGAAATGTTAGTTTCAAGACAGTCTACTAAAAATGAAAAATTACAAAATGCTAACAGAGTACATTCAGAATATTACGCTATGACATTTGATATTACGAAAGCTTGAGAGACAGTTGGTCTCTAATAACAAAAGTATGTGTTATAAAAAACCAAAATGTATTACTTTTATTACAAAAATACTTATTCTATTCTCTAAATATCAAGTCATTTTGCTAGGTACCTGATGATATGTGGCAATTTTTATATTCTAAAACAGCTGTTAAGTCAAATAGATTTTATACTCTTTCTAAGACTTGATGTTCTGAAGGGTCCTTTTTTTTTTTCGGTGTAATTCACATAAGGTAAAAAGCATTTCTTTGAACAGTGTTTTTTTTACATATTCACAAAGTTTTGTAACCATGACCACATCATCTAATTCCATAATATTTTCACCACTCCAATAAGACACCCCATACTGAAGGGTATACTTTTAATCCTAGGAAGAAACATACGAAACAAATTTAATTTTTAAAAATATGCAAGTAGCATAATGACCAAAATTATGCTGTAAGATACATCACAGAAATACACTTCTTAGAGCTGTATGGTAGAATTTGTACTACAAAGTAAAACCAAAAATACAAGGTAACTTTAATGTCTACCTTTTTTTTTTTTCTTTTTGAGACAGTATCTCACTCTGTTGCCCAGGCTGGAGTGCAGTGGTGCAATCTCAGCTCACTGCAGCCTCCACCTCCTGGGTTCAAGAGATTCTCATGCCTCAGCCTCCCAAGTAGCTGAAATTACAGGTGCGTGCCAACATCCCTGGCTAATTTTTATATTTTTAGCAGAGACAGGGTTTCACCATGTTGGCCAGGCTGGTCTTGAATTCCTGACCTCAGGTGATCCACTTGCCTCGGCCTCCCAAAGTGTTGGGAGTACAGGTATGAGCCACCATGCCCAGCCTGTCTACCATATTTTTTAATTAAATGATTTTCAAAGTAGATAACTACAAAGTTAAAAAAAAAAAAAAAAAGATTTGGCCACACTTACCAAGCTGGTTGACATGCCACAGCTGCATCTTACTTTATGACAAATGGACTGTTTCATCACTTTTGCATCTGGGCATCTACTTCTTAATGGTCATTTCTGAAATATAGGTTAAGTTATTAAGAATGTTACTCTTGAATATATTATAACAAAACTCTTTAAGAATAATTATCTAAATTGTAGTGACCAGAAAGAACTCTCAAAGCACTTTTTTCCCCTTTGAGACAGGGTCTCATTCTGTCGCTCAGGCTGAAGCGCAGTGGCACCATCACGCCTCACTGCAGCCTCAATCTCATGGGCTCAGGCGATCCTCCCACCTCAGCCTTCTGAGTAGCTGGGACCACAGGTGCATGCCACCACGGCCAGCCAATTTTTTAAATTATTATTTGCAGAGACAGGGTCTCACTACATTGCCCAGGCTAGTCTTGAACTCCTGCACTCAAGCAATCCTCCCATCTCAGCCTCCCAAAGTGCTAGGATTACAGGTGTAAGCCACCATGCCCAGCCTCAAAGCACTTCTTGAGCAACCTTCTCATAAAAAACATTATTAACAGAGCTGAGACTGAGGTGGGAGAGATAGAAAACTGGCTATTTGTACCACGGGACCAGAACTCTTCAGTCCTCAATTCCTGTCACCCAGTGGGACCTTGCAACTCCGGAGTGCCATTTACAGACTGGAAAAAAAAAAAAAAGAAATATATGGTAGCCCTAATATAGTACATTCTGAATACAACAAATTGCTTATTTATTATAAACAATTATTATCATTAATTGTTGTAAGCAATTATTATCATTAATTGTTATAAGCAATTATTATTGTTATTGTCAACTTTCCCCCTATAACTACAATGTAAACCACAGAAGGGGTTTTTGTTGGTTTTATTTACTGGTTTTTGTTTTTTTTTCTTTTGAGACGGAGTCTCACTCTGTTGCCCAAGCTGGAGTACAGTGACAAGACTGCAGCTCACTGCAACCTCTGCCTCCCAGGTTCAAACAATCCAACTGCCTGCCTAGCAGTTGGGACTACAGGCGTGCTCTACCACACCTGGCTAATTTTTGTATTTTTAGTAGAGACAGGGATTCACCATGTTGGTCAGGCTGGTCTTGAACTCCTGACCTCAGGTGATCCGCCCGCCTCAGCCTCCCAAAGTGCTGGAATTACAGGCGTGAGCTGCCACATCCAGCCTACGGGTATTTTTCAAGCACCTAAAACAATGAATTCCATGCTATAAGTGTTCATAAGGATTTACTGAAATGATTAACAGATGAATTTTTTTAACTTAAATTGATGAAATATTTAACCTTCCAGTACTATTTATTTATTTATTTATTTATTTATTTTTGAGACAGGGTCTCACTCTGTCACCTAGGCTGGAGTGTTGTGATACAATCTCGGCTCACTGCAACCTCTGCCTCCCAGGTTCAAGTGATTCTGTCTTAGCCTCCCGAGTAGCTGGGATTACAGGCACATGCCACCACGTCTGGCTAATTTTTGTATTTTTAGTAGAGACGAGGTTTCACCATGTTCGCCAGGCTGGTCTCAAACTTCTGGCTTCAAGTGATCCACCTGCCTCAGCTTCCCAAAGTGCTGGGATTACAGGAATGAGCCACCATGCCCAGCCTACCTTCTAGTATTTTAAAATGTCACTACCCATGTAGTGTTCATCCTAGGAGCTCCAGTTTCAAAAGATATTCATATTATTACCACTTCCACTCTTACTACGATGGTCCAAGCCACAATATTTTGCATACACATTAGTATAATAGTTCCCTGTCTGATCTCCCAGTCTCTCTCTTGCTCACCTCAACAAGTCAGTGAGATTAGCCATTTTCAAAAGAAAGTCAGATCATGTCATTCTTCTAATCGAATTCTCCAACTGAGTCCAGCTCAGTAGTCTAAAAGCCAGACTCCTTACAAAGGCCCATAAAGACCATGATCTGCTATCCCCCACCCCATCTCTCTTACCTCATCTACCACTCTCTCCCTTATTCACCCCATTCAAGCTATACCAGCATCTTTCCTTTCCTTAAACTTATCAAGCACCTTCTCACTTCAGGATCTCAGGACTTGTTTTTCCCTCTGCCAGTAACAAGAGATATCTCTCTCTCTGGCTTATTTCTCCTCTTCCTTTAGGACTTTGTTTTTGTAAGTCATCTCATCAAAGAAATCTGCCCTAGTGTCCTGAGCAAGCCCAAAATAGCTGTCTTAGTTTTCCTTATCTGGCAAAGAATTTGTAAAGAATAGTAAATTATAAATTTGGGAGATGGTAATCTTCAAACATAACATCATCAATTTTTAGATCTTTCTTTGTGTCTAAACATCTGTAGAGCTACACTGTTCCTTTTAAAAGATTCTTAAGTTCCCGACTTCAAAGAAATAATGAAGATGTATCTATCAAAGTGTGGTTTTCTTAAACTGTTGTTTTGTTTTTAAATCATCTGTACCATAACTCTAGAACAGAGTGGTAGAAGATTTGAATTAAAAGAGTCCCATCAAAAAACAAAAACCAGCAAAAAAATGGCATTCCCTTTCCTCCCACTTTGTTAGGGATTTCTGTTTGGGATTATATTATAAGGTTCCAGGTAATCTCAGGAAGTTTAACTGCTTCAAATTTATCTGTTACCTTTAGATATCAAGACCACCAGGAAACAATCAAAAGAACTCACTAACTCTTAACATGACTAAACTAGCTATGACATGGTAGGATGTTTAAACTTAATTATTTTTTCTTTAAATAAACAAACTCCCCCTAGGCTAAGCCCTCCTCTGCCTTTTAAACATTCTATGGCTGGCAAACTTCAGGGTCTTAAGAGAGATAGCCAGGGGACAGAGAAAACAGCAAGTCTGACTCAGTGATCACATTTAACAGTCCCTGAAAACCAAAACAAAGATACAGTTCTGGCAAGAGTTCTCTAGAATTGCTGCAAAACTGACTTATCCACATACCTTTCATCTGAACAATCTATTTTCACTTACTTTAAGGTACATAAAGCATTTGTTATGTGTCTATCAGACCTTAGGTATAAAAATAAACCAAGAGTACAAAGAAAACAATTAGCAGGGGTTCCAAAAGTTGGATGATGAAATTTAATGTTCAAATCTGCTTTGTTTGGAAAGTTGGAGAGAACCCTTGAATATTTTTGTACCGAAATGCTCCCACTCATTTAGAAATCAGAATTTTAGCAAGTTCAACCACTTGAAAGAAAGCTAGTAATATTAAAAACTTTTATTGAGCAACTTCTATGTGCCCCATATTTACATTAGTTAATTCTCAGAATTTCCCAATCAAAAAGGTTAAAGCACACGGTGGTTACTAACTTGTCTAAATCAGAGATAGCCTCAGGATTCCAAATCCCAGTTTGTCTTGTTCACTATTATAATCTGCAGTAAACTGGAATACAGTTATTAACGACAAATCCCATATTTGTGCCATAGGAATAACATGTAAATCCAGGCTGTTTATGTAAAAATTTGCTTAAAGCCAGGCATGGTGACCCGCAACAAGAATCCCAGTTACTTGGGAGGCTGAGGCAGGAGGATTCTTTGAGCCCACGAGTTAGAGTCCAGCTTGGACGATGTACCTAGACCTTGTCTCTTTAAAAAAAAAAAAAAAAAAAAATCATTAAAAAAAAAAAAACTTTGCTCCATTCTTGCTTCAGACAAGAGGACAAATGAAGAAAGATTCACTGCTATACATTAAGAGTAAACCTGTGGCATTAGGGGATTATTAAGGGCATTAAGGGGTGAATCCAAAGAATGTGCCATGCTTAGGTCTAAAAGAATTGAGTAAAAATAAGCTGGCCAGAGCAAAGCACAATAATTGGTTTTCAAATCACCTTTAAATGACTGATTGTTATTCCATACACTTAGAAAAGTCAGGGAAAAAATGTCAGGGTTCAATGGGGTGGCCACACAGGTGTTCATCAAAAGTTTCTGCACTGGCTGGACGCGGTGGCTCAGGCCTGTAATCCTAGCACTTTGGGAGGCCAAGGCGGGTGGATCACGAGGTCAGGAGATCGAGACCATCCTGGATAACATGGTGAAACCCTGTCTCTACTAAAAATACAAAAAATTAGCCAGGCGTGGTGGCACGCGCCTGTAGTCCCATCTACTCAGGAGGCTGAGGCAGGAGAATCACTTGAACCTGGGAGGCGGAGATTGCAGTGAGCCGAGATCGTGCCACTGCACTCTAGCCTGGGTGACGGAGTGACACTCTGTCTCAAAAAAAAAAAAAAGTTTCTACACTTTTCTGACTATCTGAAATATTTTTCTCTCTCATCTATCTACATACATACACATGTATATGTTAAATTATCTTTAAAGTAATTTTTAGAATTTATAATGAAATTATTAGTTCTATTAATTTTCCTAATTTTCTTTTTCTAAAAAATCCTCTCATGTGGAACACATTCTTGACATTATCAGATAACACTAATTGGCTTTATTTCTTCATACTCAATAGCATCTGATTTTATAAGTGTCATTAATGAAAAAATATTGTGTAGGAATATTTTCTTTCTGAATCGTAAGCTTAATTGGTTATTATTAGATTGAACTACTGCCTATCACATAGCAAAAGTAATATACCCACTGTATTTTCAAATGAAAATCAAAGTAATTCCTTCTCAGGACACATTACCCAGGAAATGTAGCCTTATTATACTAATGTCCTAAGTTAGTTGGAAAAAGTGAAAATTCCTTAGAACAAATTATCCCCATGATTAAAAAACATGCCATGTAAACATCAGTACAACTTAGATTTACACAGAGAAACAGACTGATCAATTTAAAGTTTCCCAAAGGATGGGCCAGGCACCATGGCTCACACCTGTAATCCCAGCACTTTGGGAGGCCGAGGTCAGCAGATCACCTGAGGTCAGGAGTTGAAGACCAGCTGATAAACATGGTGAAACCCGTCTCTACTAAAAACACAAAATTAGCCGGGTGTGGTGGTGCATGCCTGTAATCCTAGCTACTTGGGAGGCTGAGGCAGGAGAATCGCTTGAACCCAGGGGGCGGAAGGAAGTTGCAGTGAGTCAAGATTACACCACTGCACTCTAGCCTGGGCAACAAGAGCAAAACTCCATCTCAAAAAATGAAATTAAAATCAAAATAAATAAAGTTTCCCAAAGTACTAAATACATATGCTAGTCTTCTAAATATTTGTGATCTGGAAATTATCAGCAAAAACCAACATTCTTTTAAAAAAACACATACCACTTGGTTGAGTTTATGGTGCTAAAAAAAAAAAATAATCTCCCTCACAGTCTCCATTGCACTGATGGTTAATAAAGATGAAGGAAAGGAAAGGAGAGGAAAGAGAGGACACGCGTTCTCAAGATACCAATTATAAACAATACAACTTTATTTTTTTTAAGCCTTAGGATTTTAGTGTTCCTTTCTCAGTAACAAAGACTCCGTGTGCAGACCTAGAATTAGGAACATATAAAGATAATGGGAAGGTCTGCATGGTTTTGAAATCAATGTTGGGGGTTATCACCTGTGGCATTTACTTGTTTTGTTTTGTATTTTAAGGAAATGCAGATCACAGAGCACATAGATATGTATTGTTTCTTGAAACTTTATCATACACACAGTCTCTCTATAGTCAATGTTTGTCTCATCTTTCTCTCCTTTCCTTCCTTCCTCTTGAATACTCACAAACAGTATGAATAATGCATATTTAAATACTTGTGGTTTGTATAAAAACATGCTACACACATTCTAGGCCATGACATAAAATGCATTTTTTTAGTAAAAAAAAAAAAAACAATATTACATCTTAACATTGTGATTTGATTTAGAGCATCAAGGTAAAAACTTCCAGAGTGGAGGACTCTCCAAGATGGCTGACTACATGAAGCCAGGAGAAACAGCTCCCACCAAGGGACTGGGACATCAGGAAGACTCGTGCACTCCTAGCAAACCTTCAGAGGGAAGGCATTAAGATCAGAGGGAAGAAAGATACAGGGCATAGCTGAAGCGGGAGGAAGCTGGGAACCCTACACAGGGCTACCAGGCACCCAGGACTAGTTCCTGGCCCCCAGTGATTCCTGCAGAAGGGGTGAGTTGAACAGGCAAGGAGCAACCTGCTCTCACCAGGGGCCTCTGGAATCCCAGTAGGAAGAGACCCCTCTGCCACCATGGACACTTGAGTTGGCAGGGACAGCTACTTAGAGAAGTGGTAGTAGCAGAACTCCAGCCTGTGCCAAGTCTAGAGGGTTTGGTGCTGCAGCCTCTGTAGTGGAACACGGCCAGGGATGCCCATTCCCCTAGAATTGACCTGCCCCCATAGGAGATTTTAGCCCTAGTGAAACTGTCAGATCTGAACTCTGCAGAGCCAGTCTTGTCCATGAAACAGGGCCAGTTTGACGTGAACACCCTTTAGTCAGCTGGCCTCTCCCAGGGTCCCACCCTGGCCACACCTGCATGCAGTGCAGCCCCCAGGTACCTCCTGGGGGCCGCATCACAGCTCCTGCACTGGCAGGCCATGCCTGACTGGCAGAGTGCTCTAGCAGAGCTGCCCCACAGACACACACCAGGCTGCCTGTGCCCTCCCCCAACTGTGCCCTCCCCTGTGCTGCTTTGCCTACAAGCACTAGCCCACAGCAACCCCTCACATCACTTTGCCAGCATGTGTGTGCCAGCAGGAATCTTGTCTTCCCTTCCCAGCCAGGGTGTCTGCACCCTGCCATGCCTCTGCTGCCGTGAGTGCACCCCCGTCCCCTATCCCCCACCATACCACCACTGTCATAGGAGCACTGGCAGCAATGAGACCACCAGCCCCTGCCGCCGACACTGCTGCCTGCCCAAAACTAAGCATGGAGAACAGCAGACTGCCCCCATGAGTGCCCAATTCTATTCCTTGCAGGGACCCCCTGCCCTCCTCCAGCCATGCTGCCACCCAGCTGCTGCAAATGCCTGCATGGAGGCTGGCACCCCGGCGCTGGCTAGCACCTTGCCACAGTCCACACACGTCCACACTGCCACTGCTGTTGGCACGTGCAAACGAGTACAAGGACCAAGCCTGCTGCTATCACCCTATGAAGTGCTTTGGCTGGCACTTGCCCATTGGAGTGTGGTGACCAGTGTTCCTGGAGCACTGGAATTTAATATCCGGCCAAACCAAGCTTCATAAATGAAGGAGAAATAAGATCATTTTCAGACAAACAAATGCTGAAGGAATTTGTTACCACTAGACCTGCTTTACAAAAGCTGCTGAAAGAAGTACTAAATATGGAAAGGAAAGACCCTTACCAGTCACTACAAAAACAAACTAAAGTACATAGACCAGTGACACTACAGGGCAACCACACAAAAAAGTCAGCATAACAAGTTAACATCATGATGACAGGATCAAACGCACACATATCAATACTAACCTGCAATGTTAATAGGCTAACTACCCCAATTAAAAGGCACAGAGTGGCAAACTGGATAAAGCAGCAAGACCCAATGGTATACTGTTTCAAGAGACCCATCTCACATGCAGTGACACCCATGGACTCAAAATAAAGGAGTGGAGAAAAATCTACCAGGGAAATGGAAAACAGAAAAAGCAGGGGTTGCAATCCTAATTTCAGACAAAACAAACCTTAAACCAACAAAGATCAAAAAAGACAAGGGCATTACATAACGGTAAAAGGTTCAATTCAACAAGAAGACCTAACTATCCTAAATATCCATACACCCAACACAGGAGCACCCAGATTCATAAAGCAGGTTCTTAAGAGATCTTCAAAGAGACTTAGACTCCCATGCAATAATAAGTATGAGGCTTTAACACCCCACTGACAGTGTTAGACAGACCTTAGAGGAGGAATATTAACAAAGATATTCAGGACCTGAACTCAACACTGGACCAAATGAACCCGATATAAATCTACAGAACTCTCCACCCCAAAACAGAATATACATTCTTCTTATCGCCATACGGCACATACTCTAAAATCAACTACACAATTGAATATAAACAATCCTTAGCAAATGCAAAAGAACCAAAATCATACCAACTACCTTTCTGCACCACAACATAAGAAAAATAGAACTCAAGACTAAGAAAATTGCTCAAAACCTTAGTTACATGGAAATTAACCTTCTCCTTAATAACTTTTGGGTAAACAATGAAATTAAAGCAGAAGTCAAGAAATTATTTGAAACTAATGAGTACAAAGATACAACCAGAATCTCAGACACAGCTAAGGCAGCGTGAAGAGGGAAATTTATAGCACTAAATGCTCACATAAAAAAGTCAGAAGGACCTTAAATAAACAACCTAAAATTACAACTAAAAGAACTAGAGAAGAAAGAGCAAGCTAACTCCAAAGCTAGCAGAAGACAAGAAACAACCAAAATCAGAGCTGAACCAAAGTAGACTGAGACACAAGAAACCATTCAAAAGATCAATACACCCAGGAGTTGGCTTTTTGAAAAAAATTAATAGATAGACTGCTAGCTAGACTAATAAAAGAAGTGAGAAGATACAAATAAACACAATGAGAAATGACAAAGACAATGTTACTACTGATCCCACAGATATAAAAATACCATCACAGACTACTACGAACACCTCTATGCACACAAACTAGAAAATCTAGAAGAAATGAATAAAAGAAGAGCTAGTACCATCTGTACTGAAACTATTCCAAAAAAACTGAGGAGGAGGGACTCCTCCTTAACTCATTCTATGAGGTGAGCATCATCCTGATACCAAAACCTGGCAGAGACACACACACACACACACACACACACACACACACACACACACACACAAAGAAAACTTCAGCCAATATCCTTGATAAACATAGATGCAAAAATCCTCAACAAAATAACAAGCAAGCCAAATCCAGCAGCACACCAAAAAGTGAATCCCCTACAGTCAAGCAGGCTTTATCCCTGGGATGCAAGTTTGGTTCAACACATATAAATTAATAAATGTGATTCATCACATAAACAGAACTAAAGATAGAAACCACATGATCAATTCAATAGACGCAGAAAAGGCTCTCAATAAAATTCAATACCTCTTCACATTAAAAACTCTCAACAAGGCTGGGCGCGGTGGCTCACGCCTATAATCCCAGCACTTTGGGAGGCCGAGGCAGGTGGATCACGAGGTCAGGAGATCGAGACCATCCTGGCTAACACAGTGAAATCCCGTCTCTACTAAAAATACAAAAAATTAGCCAGGTGCGGTGGCGGGCACCTGTAGTCCCAGCTACTTGGGAGGCTGAGGCAGGAGAATGGCGTGAACCCGGGAGGCAGAGCTTGCAGTGAGCCAAATCGCACCACTGCACTCCAGCCTGGGTGAAAGAGCGAGACTCCATCTCAAAAAAAACAAAAAACAAAAAACAAAAAACAAAACTCTCAACAAACTAGGTACTGAAGGAACATACCTCAAAATAATTAGAGCTATCTATGACAAACCCACAGCCAACATCATACTGAAAGGGCAAAAGCTGGAAGCATTCCCCTTAAAAACCAGCACAAAACAAGGATGCCCTCTTGCCACCACTTCTATTCAACATAGTATTGGAAGTCCTGGCCAGAGCAATCGGGCAAGAGAAAGAAATAAAGGGCATTCAAATAGGAGGCGAGGAAGTCAAACTATCCTTGTTTGCAGACAACATAATTCTATATCTAGAAAACTCTACAGTCTCAGCCCAAAAGCTCCTAGATCTGATAAACAACTTCAGCAGTTTCAGGATACAAAATCAATGTACTAAAATCACTAGCATTCCTATACACCAACAACAGCCATGCTAAGAGCCAAATCAGGAATACAATTCTGTTCACAATTGCCACACACACAAAAAAAATACCTAGGAATACAGCTAACCAGGAGAGTAAAAGAGTTCTACAACAAGAATTACAAAACACTGCTCAAAGAAATCAGAGATGACACAAACAAATGGGAAAACATTCCATGCTCATGGATAGGAAGAATCAATATCGTTAAAATGGCCACACTGCCCAAAGCAATTTATCAACTACCAATGACATTCTTTACAGAACTAGAAAAAAAAATTTTTTAATTTATACGGAACAACCACCACAAAAAAAGCCCAAATATCCAATGTAATCCTAAGAAAAAAGAACAAAGCAGGAGCCATCATGCTACCTGACTTCAAATTACATCACAGGGCTACAGTAACTCAAACAGCATGGTACTGGTACAAAAACAGGCATACAGACCAATAGAACAGAAGATAAAGCAAAAAAATACGGCCGCACAACTACAACCATCTGGTCTTCAACAAACTTGATAAAAACAAACAATGGGAAAAGGACTCCCTAATCAACAAATGGTGCTAGGATAACTGATAGCCATATGCAGAAGACTGAAACTGGATCCCTTTCCAACACCATCTACAAAAATCAACTCAAGAGGGATTAAAAACTTAAATGTAAAACCCCAAACTATAAAAACTCTGGAAGACAACCTAGGCAATATCATTCTGGACATAGGAACCGGCAAAGATTTCATGACGAAGATGCCAAAAGCAATTGCAACAAAAGTAAAAACTGACATATGAGATCTAATTACATTAAAGGGCTTCTGCCCAGCAAAAAAAAAAAAAAAAAAACTAATAATAGAGGAAAAGAGACAACCTACAGAATGAGAGAAAATATCTGCAAACTATGCATCTGACAAAGCTGTAATATCCAGCATCTATAAGGAACTTAAACATATTTTCAAGAGAAAAGCAACCCCATTAAAAAGTGGGCAAAGGACACGTACCAACACTTTTCAAAAGAACACATAAACGTGGCCAACAAGCATATGAAAAAAAGCTCAGTATCACCAATCACTAAAAAAATGCAAATCAAAACCACAATGAGATACCATCTCGCACCAGTCAGAATGACTATTATTAAGAAGTCAAGAAATAACGTGTTGGCAAGGTTACAGAGAAAAGGGAATGCTTATATACAGTTGGTGAGAGTGTAAATTAGCTCAACCACTGTGGAATGCAGTGTGGTGATTCCTCAAAGAGCTAAAAACAGAACTACCATTCAATCCAGCAATCCCATTACCGGGTATACACCCAAAGGAATATAAATCGTTCTGTCATAAAGACATACGCACATATATGATCACTGCAACACTATTCACAATAGCAAAGACACAGAATCAACCTAAATGCCCTTTAATGGTAGACTGGATAATGAAAATGTGGTACATATACAACATGGAATACTAAACTGTCATAAAAAAGAACAAGATCATGTCCTTTGCAGCAACAAAAGGTGGAGCTGGAGGCCATTATCCTAAGCAAACTAACACAGGAACAGAAAACCAAATACCCCATGTTCTCGCTTATAAGTGAGAGCTAAATGATGAGTACACATGGACACAAAGAGGGGAACAACAGACAACTGTGGCCTACCAGAGGGTGGAGGGTGGGAGGAGGGAGAGGAGCAGAAAAAAATAACTATTGGGTACTAGGCTTAGTACTTGCATGATTAAATCATCTATACAACAAACCCCGTAACACAAGTTTACCAATATAACAAACTTGCACACGTATTCCTGAACTTAAAAAAATGAAACTTCCAGAGTGAGTTTTCTTCTATGTCTTCAACATTATGCATAAGAGAGGCATACAAATGTAAACGTCATCAGAGTCTGTGATTTTACTGTTTTTCATGAATTTTAATGCAATACACAAAATATTCACTATGAAGAGCAGCCTGGTATTAAAGCAGGTTTGCCTTTTATACAATCCCAGGGAACTGACTTACATGAATACCAAAACACCTCAGTATTTGACAACCTCTTCTTGAAGATGGTATCTTCATATCTATGTGTCCCAGAGACTGTCACCCAGTCCATTAACTTCCTCAGAAGTGGATGCAATTTGTATAAAACACACCTTGGCCCCCTTATTTTCTACGCAATAATCCATAACTTCAAAAATAGAAGTCAATGAAAACCAGTTAAAACTTTTTTTTTTTTTTTTTTTGAGACGGAGTTTTGTTCTTGTTGCCAAGGCTGGAGTGCAAGGGCGCTACCCGCTTCCCGGGTTCAAGCGATTCTCCTGCCTCAGCCTCCCAAGTAGCTGGGATTACAGGCATGCACCACCACACCTGGCTACTTTTGTATTTTTAGTAGAGATGGGGTTTCTCCATGTTTGTCAGGCCAGTCTCGAACTCCAGACCTCAGGTGATCCACCTGCCTCGGCCTCCCAAAGTGCTGGGATTACAGGCATGAGCCACTGTGCCTGGCCTACAACTTTTTTTTTTTTTAAGACAGGGTTTCACTTTGTCAACTAGGCTGGAGTGCAGTGGCGCCATCTCTGCTCACTGCAGCCTCGACTTCCTGGTTTCAAGTGATCCTCTTGCCTCAGCCCCCAAAGTAGCTGGGACTACAGGCATGTGCCACCACACCCAGCTAATTATATTTTTTCTATGTTTTCACAGAGACAGGGTTTCACCATGTTGCCCAGGCTGGTGTCAAACTCCTGAGCTCAAGCAATCTGCCACCTCGGCCTCCCAAAGTGCTAGGATTACAGGCGTGAGCCCCCTGGCCAAAAATAGTTACAATTAAAAAAAAAAAATCTGCCTTTATCTGTCAGAAGGAAAACACTATCTTCATTTGTCAGTAGTTCTGGTAGGCTCTAAATATTTTTCAGGAGTGTACAGGATATAGAGACAAATTTTCCCACAACTAAATTCTAAGGTAATTTCTCATAAGTGGGAATTGTACAAAAGACAAAGAAGGAATCACCAACGTGTTCAACCAGTTTCCAACAAATTGAGAAGTAGAATTCATGTTTCATGAAGAGGTCTTCAATAAATCCATATCTCAAAGCACTCAAGACAAGCTATACCTGTTTTCTCTGAACTACTGCTGTGAAATAGTGTTTCTCATGAAATCCACAAAACTTAGTTAAGATAAGCCAAATGAATTCAGTGGTCCTCCCTAACTTGTGCCTCATTCCTTATACATAAAAAAAATGCTTAATATTTTATATATAAATGCAATATAGGAAAAAAATGCTAAGAAGAAGAGGAAAAAAGACAAGCCCTATAAATTTGCCACATTACAACATATTTTTAGAGTGGGGGGAAAATGCCTGTGAAATCATTTTATATTTTACAGGTAAAGAAAATGAAGTAGCTTATGAGCAAGGAAAGAACTCAAGTTCGCAATATAAATGTTTTTCCCCCCAGAATTACACATTCCAACAAATTTATAGGACATTTTAGCTTAATACATGTATAACATACATGTATTAAATATGAATCAGAACCGACAGCAATGCTGAAGAGTTTAAATAAATGCATGAATTATGAGTTAAAGGAAATTAGAAATGGCCTATGTGCCCTTTAGGAATGGCAGAATTCCAGTAAGAAATCTGTTTCCTTGGTGTGGCTCTTTAGGACAGTCTAGGGTCAGTGGATCACTGCTTTGGCCTCACACACCATTTCTTATCTAGATGATTAGTTAGATTCACCATTGGCAAATGCCCCTAAAGATTAAAAAAAAAAAAATGTACAGGTTGAGTATCCCTTATCCAAAATGCTTGAAACCAGAAGTGTTTCGAATTTCACAGTTTTTTCAGATTTTGGAATATCTGCATATACATAATGAGATATCTTGGGAATGAGACCAAGTCTAAACATGAAATTCATTTACATTTCATATATACCTTATACATATAAGCTGAAAGTAATTTTATACAACATTTTAAATAATTTTGCCCATGAAACAAAGTTTGTATATACATTGAACCATCAGAAAGCAAAGGTGTTGCTATCTCAGCCACCCACGTGGACAATCTGTGGTGGTTTAGCACTATCATCATTCTGCACACAGAAAAGGTAACTACAGCTGTGAGGGCTGGGAGGGTCTTTTTTCCCTTGTGGAGGATGAATAAGCTGTGTGTTGTGTGCCTGTGTTTTCACTGTAGCCCATGACACGAGGTCAGATGTGAAATTTTCACTGTAGCATCATGTTGGTGCTCAAAAAGTTTTGAATTTTGGAGCATTTCAGATTTCAAATTTTTGGATTAGGGATCCTAAGTCTATATATGCCAACACTGTTTTCAAAAATGGACTACTGCTCATTTCAAAACTGATTCACTAAAAAGTTTGTATAAGAAGCATAAATCTTAAAAGTGGCAGAATAGAAGAATATATAACATCAACTGCTTTTATGCAAAAATCCATTTTATACAGCTAGTACTGGATTAAAACAAAAAAATTATAAAGAAATAACATTTCTCATATTAAAAGTTATATGCTAGGAAAGATCAGATGGAGATAAGGACAAAAGGTATAGTATACTCAATGTTGACAATTTAATATTTAAACAGAACACAAATCACTTTTAATTTCATGGATATTTACCTTACATCAAGCACATCTCTAGCACCCAGCCCACATTCAGACGGTCTACAAGAGCATGTGTGTGGAAGGGCACTTAATCTACTCACTTTTGGCCGGGCGCAGTGGCTCACGCCTGTAATCCCAGCACTTTGGGAGGCTGAGGTGGGTGGATCACCTGAGGTCCGGAGTTCAAGACCAGCCTGACCAACATGGAGAAACCCCGTCTCTACTAAAAATACAAAATTAGCCAGGCGTGGTGGCACACGCCTGTAATCCCAGCTACTCCGGAGGCTGAGGCGGGAGAATGGCTTGAACCAGGGAGGCGGAGGTTGCTGTGAGCCGAGATCGCGCCATTGCACGCCAGCCTGGGCAACAAGAGCGAAACTCCGTCTCAAAAAAAAAAAAAATAGTAATAATAATAATAATAATAATCTACTCACTTTTACAAAAATATATCTGCCCATTTAGTCTTAAAGGCACAAGTGAATAAAATAACATTATTATGAAATACTGTTTGGGAAGTATAGAAAAATCTGTAGGACAGACTTGTACTAAAGTAATAATTAACGAGAGGTGGTTTACGAATAAATACTCCAGCTTAATTGACATCACAGAAACTATGGGAGTTTGTCTTTACCATTTCCTCTTGCCCAAACCAAGCTGGATATTTCCCGGGGTTAAATAACAGTTCTTGTTTATTTCTCCTAGATATGACACCTTTTGCAGTGTGTGGGGGTGGGGGTGGGGCGGTCAAACTAAAAATACATAAACCAATATAAAATGTAAACTGGTAGAGAGGCTTAAGATCTACTGTTTACTCTAGGGAAAGCACAGATTCAAACTTAAAAAAAAAAAAAAAGACCTCAATGACTTTCCTGATACAGAAAGGGAAAATTTTAATTGTTTTTCAACCCACCATTAGAGGGAACAAAAGATTAAAAATGTTGCTTTCAGGGTAATGTGTGTGCATACCCTCTCTTCCACATGTATTTGTCTTTGTTTCTCCCTCTCGAGGAGTGGGTGTGAGTATGTGTATGTGTGTGAGAGAGAGAGACAGCAAGAGAGCGCGAGGGATGTTTTTCCCTTCCTCCCTCAGTCTCGGTCACTCTATATCCCCTCTCCTTTTATGTCAGCCTGTCTCTCACACTCAGTAACTCATTTCTAAGCACTGATATTCAGAAACAAAGCATTTTATCAGGTTGTAGTCTGAGGCAAAGTGAATTATAAAAATAGTCACAAAGTGAGAAAAAGAATAAGAAATTATTTAATCATCAGCTGAAAATAGAAAAAATTAAAGCCAGAAACTTTCAGCTTTCCTTAAACTACCTAAACACATAAACATGCCATACACAAAATCTTAATAAACATAGTAGGTTCAATCTAACAGATTCATTTACAGAATTTTGAGCTAAATGCATCAGGACAGAAAAGACATTAAAAGTCAGTTTAATTAAGTAGTTAGCACTGGCTTTGGAGTCATAGCTCTGAATTTATATCCCAACACTGCTATCACTAACTGTACAATCTTGGGCAGGTTACCTGCTCTTGGTCTATCTTTTAATCTCTAAAATGAAACTAACAAGTTTGTTGTGAGGATGACACAGATAATTCTTGTATAACATTTAGCATGGTGGCACATATTGAGGGCTTCACATTTTATCTGAAACATCAGGTGCAGTGAACATCTATTATTCTTTTTGTCTGCTTGAACTTCTCCTGCCATATGATTTCAGAAGGTAAAACACTGGTTCTACAGCTTGGAGTTCTTGAGAACTCCACCCATCTTTTTTTTTTTTTGAGACACAGTCCCACTCTGTTGCCCAGGCTGGAGTGCAGTGGTGTGATTTAGCTCACTGCAACCTCCGCCTCCCAGGTTCAAATGATTCTCCTGCCTCAGCCTCCTAGGTAGCTGGGATTACAGGCACACACCAACACGCTTGGCTAAGTGTTGTATTTTTAGTAGAGATGGGGTTTCGCCATGTTGGCCAGGCTGGTCTAGAACTCCTGACCTCAGGTGATCCACCCACCTCAGCCTCCTAAAGTGCTGGGATTAAAGGCATGAGCCACTGCATCTGGCCATCCTCCCGTCTTATAATTGCAGAAGGTTAAACACTTTCCCACATGTCCCATACATCTAGGATACATGTTTTGCCAAACACACATGTGCATCCCAGAGTAGCGAATTAGTGAGCAGAAGCAGAGAGCAGAAGGAGCTCATTCTCACACTAATGGTGGAGCAGTTTCAGCAAGGTCAAGTCTGGGGCAGAGGTGGCAGCATTTAGAGTCATCCAGAGCCAGCAGTGTTGCTGGGACAGGTTGTGGCATCCATCCGTCTGTCTCTAGATGGTACTGGCATCCTCATGGGAATTATGCAATGTGATTTGGAGCATTGTTTCTGGTTGCTTAGCCCTGAATCTGGTTCTCCAACCCTCACAACAATTTGATAAGCCACTGAGCTCTACCCAATTTCCTTTTAAAACATATTTGATTTGGTTTTTACTAACCAAAAATTCTGATTGACATCATGCAGGGGCGAAATCTATTCTCACCTGCCTCACCCACACAGAAAAAAAAAAGCAATTTTCCATCTCTCCAAAGAAACTCAAAAAGTATTGTTTGCTTTTAACCAATGGATTTATCCTGGGAAGACTTCGAATTTTATTTTTATAAATTATAGATAATTATTTTCTTAATTTAGAAAGTGAGAAATATCTAGGCAGATTTAGATTTATTTCAAAGGAACACTGTCAAGGAGAAGTGATATCACAGGAAAACAACTCTATCCAAGGAGTAGCTTTCATTGAGGTAACAAATGATTCCACCATGCCTAAAACCAACCTATGTATTCCCAACAATTTTCTTCCCAGCAGGAGCTTTACACTTGAGGAGCCCCACCCCCAAGGGTCATTTTTAGGTCAAAAAATTTTTAATTATTATCAGAAAACCATATATATTCCTCTTTTGTTTAAAAAAATAACTCAGTAAAATATCTAAATAGCAAAACTATTCAATTCTCTGTTAAAATAGTGCATAGTAAGTCAGTGCCTCATTGTCACAGGCTAACGCACACTCCTCCTCCTCTGCCAGATTTCTCTGCAGGTCTATTTTACAGTTCAGTAATGCTTTTTCCAGTGTTCAGAATGTTACAGCTCAAATCTGTTAATTTTATTACTCATCAGTAAAAATGTTGATACAAGGTTTGTGGGGAGGCTGAAGCTTGGGGACTAGTTTCCCTATTCTCAGGAGCCAGTTACCATATGGGGTTGAAACTATGTTTTAATGAATAAAATATATATATATGAACAAAATCAAGCATAGTTTTTAAAAAGGTGATTGTTGACTGCCAACCTAAAAAAAAAGAGAGTTTAAAAAAGCAAATCTTTTCAGATTAAAATTTAGGAAAAAAGAAAGAAGAATTTGGAAAGGTATATTGTTGTTAATGTACATCCAATGTATTAAAAGGTCAAAAAAAAAAAACAAACTCCAAACTTTGCCAGAGATTTGGGGGCGGGAGGAGAAGTCACAGAATTTCAAGGTTCATGCTCATGCATTAGAGCTACATTACACCTTACAAGTGGCTGAGGCCTTGAGAGTTGAGCAACTTACCCAAGGAACTTATCTTCTGATTCCTAGCTGAATGATGTCATTAAGACATCTTCCTTTTGCCCTTCAAAATAAAGTTAACTGAAATGAAGTTAACTGAATACCATATGGCATGATTCCTGAATTTAAAATAACAAGAAAATACTAAATCCAAAGCAAGTGATTTCAACTGTTTGTATTCTTTTTAACATAACGTTCTGATTTATGATAATTCATAAATACTCTAGACCCATCAGTACAGAAAAAGCCATCAAGGAAAGTGAAAACTTTTTATAGTGTCTATAACTTCATTTCTAGGTAATGCCCGGGATGTGTTATAAAGTAAAATCATTTTTGCATATGTGCCAAGGGCTATTTCTTAACCATCAATTATAATATACAAGTTGTTATTTACTGCATGCCCTCAGAACATATACCTAAACACCATGAATTTAAGTGTATGCAACTCAACAAAAAAAATTCTTTTCTGGTCACAATCCACTCACCTTATAAAGATACCACAATCCCTTAGAAAAAAGTTCTTCTGCATTTGATTCTTATACTAAATGTAGTGTGAGCTTTCTACTCAAGGGAATAAAAGGAAAAAGTTCATACAAGATCCAGGTCTTCTTTCTTAAATGAGGCTTGCACAAATAAGTCTTACAAACTAGCTATATTTGTGTTTTATGAGAAGCCTAGAAGAAGCAGAGCTAAAAAGGTCCTAAGGCTAGCTCTGAATTACTACCCTGTTATAAAGAGTAATTTATGCTATGAAATAACAGTAACAGTCAAAATATTCCCCTCCCCCGCCAAAAAGAGATGAGCTAACAGACTCCTATTAAAATAAGGTGCAAGATCAAAAAGTACATGAAACCCAAAAGAGAACAGGGAGGGAGGGTGTGTATAAAGAGATAAAAGGTTTACAGCAAGGAAGGCAAACCTAAGACACATGTACTGCTATTTCTCGTCCTTCAAAATTGGCAGACACAGGTAACAGGTGACAGCTCTGTGGAGTCTGGCAAAGGCTTCAGAAACCTCTGTTACAAAGCAATGGGAGCTGTCAGATTAAATATAACACTGTCATCCCTGGTTGAGACTGACTGAACAAAAGCTGCAGAGAAAACTCATTAAACAGATAAAGAGTATAGAGAAAAACAGGAACAATAAGAGCAGCCAATATTTACTGAGGTATTTTTTGTTTTTAGGTTACATACATTGTTCATTTAATCCTCAAAACAAACTTCATAACTACTAACACTGTGCCCATTTTATAGATGGAAGAAAAGAAACAAGATTTACAGAATTTTCAATAACCAACTAGCCAGTCGTATATATAGTAAGAAATGGGGGCCCTAACACGGATATGAGCAGTTTACCATTCCTTTGTAATGGATCATAGAACTCAACGACTGACCTAATCCTCTATTCATCTCCATGTAAATCCACCAGTTCAGAGTTTTTTTAAAACAAAATTTTAATTAAGTAATATCACGTTTCTAATTGAAACTGTGGGAAATATAATGAATATACTAAAACTGATATTTTTATTGCTTTTATAATTAACAGTTTGATGAACACTTTCTACACACACTTCTGTACATTTTTATTCCATTTATAAAACATTATCAATGGAATTCTGGGTCAAAGAGTGTGCACACATTCAGCCGGAACATTTGATTTTATTACTACTGAAATGATGAAGAGATGATGGTCCCTTTAGGAAAACAACTGTGTCTTATTCTCCCTTGTGTCCAAAACATCTAGTACATAAGCAAGTATTCATTGACTGCTTAATGAATGATGGAGGTTTCCCTTCCCTTAGCACACAGTCTCTGAGGGGAGAATTAAATCCTGCAGGTTCTCAAATGAGAAGACAAATGATGCCAAATATCAAATTTACTGATGGGCTGCATAAAACCCTCCTCAGGGAGAAAAAAAGCACAAGTACTGGCACTGCCATTCAAAGTATCTCTATATGTTTAAAAGAGTTGGATACCTTATAGTATATTTAAAGAATACAGTATTTTAGTAGGTATGTAACACTGAAAGATACTACTTCTCCCAGTTTATTATCTAAATGGCACACTGTCCACGAAGATAATTTCAGAACATGTTCAAAGAGCTTCAAAGGGCTAAATCTTTTAAATACTAACTAGATTTTTCATTTTACATTGATTTTTATTCACAGGTACTAATGTTATTATAGCAGGTATCCCATAAAGATGAAAAACAGATTCACTATAAAGACAATGTGCAGGGTATTGAGCTAGCACTTTAGATGTATTAATTTAATGTTCACCACATTCCATGCTAGCTATTATTGTCTCTATTTCACAGGCAAAGAAACAGAAGATAAAGAAACTTGCTTGTTTCTTTGAACCAAGACATTCTGGCCACACGCCTAATCACTACACATTATTGACTCCAAGTAACAAGCAAAAGCAAATACAGTTTCTGGCACAGCTTTCAGTGGACATTAGTGATAAAGGGTACAATGACAATACGCTTGCCAGAAAATAGGGTGTTCAATCAATTTGGATGGATTATTTATTTAGTAAATAATTATTTATTATCTATCATGGGCCAAGAACTGTATCAGAATATGTATTTTTCAAACCTTGAAAACAGTTTAGGGAAGAAAGAGGCAGATCTTGTAATACAGATATCTAGCGTACAGAGACAGATGTAACGGAGACAGAATAAAATAGAATTATTCACAAGTGTCAAGACACAGAAGGAGTAATTAACTCTACCGAGGGCACTCAGAGAAGTTGCACAGAAAGGAAACAGCTCAATTGTAACTTGAATAACAGACTTTTAATGTGTCTGGCTATAAGTTTCTCTCTCAAAATCATTCTCCACAGATGGGTCAGGTTATCACTATGAAAAGTGCTGCAGCAGAAGCACAGAATATGGCTTAGGACAGCTGGCACCACATGAGGTATGCTAGGGAGAGAAAGAGGGGGCTAGAGATTGCCACAGATCTGCAGAATCAAACCCCTACAAACACAATAGAAGCCAGTGACAAGTCCATTTATCACACTTAATTTTATAGCTAACATGGCTGTTAAAATTGCCTTTGTTTGGCATACCTGTAAATTCCCAATAAATTCTTAATAAAATAAACCTAAATTTAAAAACAATAACAAAGGAATGAGGGCTGGGAGGGGAAAGGTGGATGTAAAGCATGACTGACCCTTCCTGAGACCTCGCTTTAAAAAGTTATAGGAGTTTTTAGAAGTATAAAGCCCATAAGGATGAGGAGAATTGGGAAAGACACAACAGCAAATGAGAGTCATCAACATCATTTTGGAAGCTAGAAAAGGAAAAGAATAACCTATCAAGACCAAGAAAGTTGAAACCTAAACCTGACAGGGAGAAGCCATCAGGAAGCAAGCTGATAAAGACAGAAAGTAGAATAATGGTTGCCAAGAGCTAGGGAGGGGGAAATGGGGAGTTACTGCTTAATGGGTGCTGAGTCTCAGCTGGAGATGATGAAAAAGTTCTGGAGATGAATAGTGGTGATTATTGCACACTAATGTACTTAATACCATGGAACTGTACACTTTAAAATGGTTGTAGCCGTAAATTTTGTTATTATATTTTACCACAATTTAACAAAAAAAGCAGCAGCAAGTTGACTCATGCTGGAAAGATTTAGGTATTGTAGGGACAGTGAAGACAAAACACAGGATGGGGCTGGAAACCATATGACTGGCTGAAAATTCTTATAAGTGGCCTCCCCCTGAAAACCAATCTTCTCCCTATCCCTGATAAGAGTCTGGAGATGCATCTCTGGAGAGGGTGAATGAGAGACCCCAATCTTAGGAACACAAGTCACAACTGAAGCAAGACAAAATGTCTTACTGAAAAAGAGGAAAATTATGTGAAATTCTGCTCAGGATGCAGTAGACTATCTCCCAGGAGAAAATGGAGATGACAGATTACTTAATGTGTCCAACCATATTAAGAGCTGTTTCAGATTTGTTAAATAATTGTAAATGAATTAATAACAAGAAAAAAATTTTAAACTGGGATAATTATCTGGAAAAACAAAATATAATTAGTGAATTTTGTGACTCAGTTGTGAAAAATATTTGCATAGTCTTAATAAACACTAAACTACCCCCAAAATCTGATACCCTATAAAGATGAGAAAAAGGGAAGTATGTATAAAAGCCTGTGGGCAGTAGAGAGATTAAGATAACTAATCTTCATCCTTCTTAGATGGAAGTCAGTAGCTACTATCTAAAATGAAAACCCAACAAAAAGCAGAATAACTGACTTAGAAAAATGAAGACAAATATCAGAACAAATAACTAAAAGAACGGAAACTGACTGCCTTGTAAAGATTGGTAATTGGAGGTGAAGAGAGATGGGGAACTGTTTTCATAAGCCTTGTAATACAATTTGACTTTTTAAACTACACATGTACAAATATCATTTTAATTTTAAAATACAAATTTAATTTAGAAAGGTAACCAGAAGATTTTGTTTAAAAGATCTAAAATTGTCTACAGAGTATACATTTTTTCCAACTATCATTATTAATTTCTGTTAATTCTTAGGACTTCCAGTAATAGTGAGGCCAATCATAATAGATGCCTTTCTTGTAGAACAATTCATTAACTGGTATGTCATTCACTAGAGAAATACTTTGGGAATGTAGCAATTCTAAAGCCTAACTGTTAAAAACCACTCCTTAAATGCCGTATTTTCTCTCTTTCTCCCTAAGAATAGATATTTGGATATATTTTATAAAAGCTTACATTATTTGCAACTCTTGGGTCAAATCCAAATTTTGACATTTTCAATGACTAGCATTTGTAAACACCAGCAATAGTAGAGTTGATTTAAGTCTGAATGTCAAATGATACAAATGGACAGACTGAAAGGCTACCTCACAGAAAAATACACACAGGAATAAATATGCAAAGAAAACAGTAAACAATCTTATTATCTTATCTGCAAGAACTGCAGCACTGCAGCAACTTTTTTTTTTTTTTTTTTTTTTTTTTTTTTGAGACGGGGTTTCGCTCTTGTTGCCCAGGCTGGAGTGCAATGGCGCGATCTCGGCTCACCACAACCTCTGCCTCCTGGGTTGAAGCAATTCTCCTGCCTCAGCCTCCTGAGTAGCTGGGATTACAGGCATGTGCCACCACACCCTGTTAATTTTGTATTTTTAGTAGAGACAGGGTTTCTCCATGTTGGTCAGGCTGGTCTTGAACTTTCGACCTAAGGTGATCCGCCCGCCTGGGCCTCCCAAAGTGCTGGGATTACAGGCGTGAGCCACCGGGCCCGGCTGCAACTTTTTAAGTACCATACTTAGGGGCACAAATTCATCAACTAAATATAATCGAATTAACATACTTCTACACAGTCAAAACCAAGAACCTCATCCAGAAAAGGAAAATGCTTAAAAACACAAGATTAAAACCATGAGATTAAAACTACATCACAGTCTATTAAATTTTTTAAAAATTAATGAAGTTCTTTTCATATGAAGAGAAAAGCTATGAGGCCTTGGTTTCCTTTCCCAGCAGTACTAATGGGCTCTGTTGATCTACAACACAGAGTTGCTGGATTTCATGTGTCAACTATAAAACAAATTTGCAAACAATTAAACAAGTATTATAAAAGCTTAAAAAGATTAAAATAATATTTGTCTTATTATTTACATTGCACACCCATATAACAGGACAGAAACATAGTCAGAGATATAACAACCAAAAAAAATGCCAAGTATTTATCACTGAGTGCCTATTATGTGTCGGAACATGACAGAAAGAAAGGCATACTCCTCCTGCACTCAAGGAGTTTGAAATTGACTAGTGTAGGAGAGGGGGTAAGAAGTATGTTGTAGTAGGGCTGTGTCTTAGTGTGTTTTTTGTTGCTTATTACAGAATACCTAAAACTGAGCAATTTATAAGATATGAAATTTATTTCTTACAGTTATGGAAGCAGGGAAGCCCAAGGTCGAGGGACCGCATTTGGTGAGAGCCTTCTTGGCTGGTGGGGTCTCTCTGCAGAGTCCTGAGGCAGCAGAGGGCATCACGTGGTGGGGCTGAGCATGCTAGCTCAGGTCTCTCTTCCTCTTCTTATAAAGCTACCAGTCCTATTCCCGTGATAACCCATTAATCCATTAATCCATGAATGTATTAATCTATTCATGAGGGCAGAGCCCTCATGACCTAACCACTTCTTAAAGGCTTTTCCTCTCAATATTGCCACATTGGGGATTAAGTTTCAACATGAGTTTTGGAGGGGACAAACATTCAAACCATAGAAGGCTGCCAATATTAAGACATTAAAACAATTCATGAACAATACAAAACAGAGAAATGACTAAGAAGTAAACTACGAAATTGTAAATTTAGAGAAGGGGAAGATAATAGAGGGCTTGAAAGAAGAAGTAGACACCGAACTGGATCTAAAAGAATCTTTCAAATGCTATAAAAGCATTTGAAAAGATAAGGGATATTAGGGAGAATGAGTACTCTCTCTCTCTGGATTTTGCTATATATTTAAATAATACGTTATCAGTCAGATGAGAAAAGAAAAGAAAAAAAACAGAATACATATCAGTACTTCCCAAATTTATCTGCCTAACTGTATTTGCGATATTATTCTAAAATACTGGATAAATTCAAGAGACTACTAAAAGTAATTATAGCTTATGAAGGATCCAGGATCAAACCAATTAAGTATTACAGGACCCAATTAAAACAAAATCAAATATAGTCTTTGGGGATATAGGGGAAAAAACAAAAAACAAAAAACAAAAACAAACCCCAACCAGACTTCTGGAACTCTTATTAACATTAAGACAATAAACTAAATTTTGAAACAATTCCCAGAAGTGTTAATGCTCAAAGTGACTCTTCCCCATGAACAGAAATTTATGCAATATAAGCATGTCTTGCAAGCCAACTCAAATAGTGTTCGGGTAAAAATAAAAAACATCCAAAGACAACTTTACTGTCTCATAATTTTTTAAAGCACTAGGAGAAATTTTTAGGTTAGTATAAAAACATTAAAGAAAACATGAAAATAAAAATAAGAGAAGAAAAACTAATGAAACACTTCTTGAACAAGAAATGGTGGTCGGGGGTGGATTGCAATCAACCAAAGGTGAAAATAACAGAAAAAAGACAAGGAACTCATGTGCAGAAACATTCTTGGAATCTGCATTGGAAACTAATCATACAAAGTAATCATCACAAAATGAGGTCCAATCTACTGGTTAAAAGCATAAAGAGCTTTTATGACATTTTTCCACGCAAACTCAATGTAGACTTTTCCTCCACTACAAATACACAAAAGGTTTGTGTTGGTGCAATTTACTATGCCTATTCTCAGCCCTAGGATATTTTTGTACCCAATCTCAAATTGGAAATGAGATGCTATCTGTCCTCAAAATGTCGAGTTATTGGCAGAAACATAGTTCCATGTCTAATATAACTTATATGCTGTACTACAAGTCTTTTAAGCGGTATTCTTTTTTAGATGTAAGACCACCTATACAGTTAAAATAATAAATCAAAACTTGTGGAACACATTATTTGCTGATGTAATAAAGCAAACATTTTCCCTAGTATGAGAATACCACCTTAGTGCTTATTTACCCTATTGCTAAACAGATTCTTATTATGTATATCCTTTATTTTATGGAATTAGTATTTCAAGGTTAGCTACACAGTGAATCCTACTATTCCACCACTGTAAAAGCAGAGAAATGTTCCACAGAACTATATTCCCAAAACATTAAGCCAAAAGTTGACTACTACAAAAGAAAGTTCACACTTCCTTTGCTTCCATTTCCTCATTTGCTAATATTAGGTACCATGTGATATTCAGTTTTTAGAAACAAAAACTGGAAATTAGAAGAGGCCAGGTACATTGGCTCACACCTGTTATCCCAGCACTTTGGGAGGCCAAGGTGGGAGGATCACTAGAGGCCAGAAGTTTGAGATCAGCCAAAGCAATATACTGAGACTCCATCTCTACAAATACAGTACAGTACAGTACAATACAATACAATACAAATTAGCCCAGCATGGTGGCATGTGCCTGTAGTCAGTTCCTGCTACTAAGGGAGGCTGAGGTGGGAAGATCACTTGAGCCTAGGGGTTTGAGGCTGCGCTAAGCTGTGATCACACCACTGTACTTCACCCTAGGTGACAGAATGAGACCCTGTCTATGGGGGATTAGGCTTCTACCACCAGATGCACAACTGTAAGCAACTTAAAAAGTGGGGAACTGGAAATAGTTGTCCATTTATTTCCATCAGGTTGTAATTCTACTTTGAGAAAGAAGGAAAAGTTATTTGTGTTTTTAAAGTTATCATAATGCACATTTTATGTTTAAAGCATACATTAAATAAAAAGAACATTATTAAATTATAATAATCTATGAGAAAAAATATATTTTTTATAATGGGATGCAACTGTTAACATAGCAGACTTATGTTATTTTCCCTCTATAATGTATATAAATATTCCTTGACTTGTGAAGGGATTACATCCCAATAAATCTATTGTGACGCCAAAAAATCAAAGGTAGCACCATTGTAAATCAGGGATCATCTGTACTTTGTTTTATTTGGTGTTCTTAAATAAACTCTCACTTCAGTCTCCTGGTTCTATGCTTTAAATTCCCTTAAAAACTTTTTATTTATTTTTTTAGATGGAGTCTCATTCTGTCACCCAGGCTGGAGTGTACTGGCATGATCTTGGCTCACTGCAACCTCCACCTCCTGGGTTCAAGCAATTCACCTGCCTCAGCTTCCCGAATAGCTGGGATTACAGGTGCCTGCCACCACACTGCATTCATTTCCCTCATATTTATAATTACCAGGCTGTATCTATTAATTTGCTTGCTGCTTGTCTCACTCATCGGAATGAAAGCTCCATCAGAACAGAGAGATGTCTCCTGTTCTCTGTTGAATACTTAGCACCTTAAAAACTGTCAGGTACATAGGCATGCAATAAACATTCTGTGTTTTTAGTAGAGACGGGGTTTCACCTTGTTGGACAGGCTGGTCTCAAATTCCTGACCTCAACTGATACACCCACCTCGGCTTCCCAAAGTGCTGGGATTACAAGCATGAGCCACCGGGCCCAGCCAAATTTTAAAAATCTGTAAAAGCAATTTAATACTAATTTTCATTTGGGATTTAAAAAATAAAAGCACTGGTGTTGTTCTCATTTCTATAAAATGGCTAAACTCTGCACCCCAGGGGTGATGTAGGGCATGAGAACCTACCCTTCCACTCTGCTTTCTTCTCCAAGCCATCATTCCCCATCTTACTCCTAGCACTGAAGAGGTAAATGCAAAGACACTATTTCACAACTTCAGCAGTTCCTACCAACTACTGCCCAAACTCCTCTCCACAGCCCAAAAGAATCTCCATTACCACCACGTAGAAGCTCATGGTCTCTGGTGATAGACAGATGTACAAAGGAGGGTTGCTAATGCTCCTCTTCACACACCACACACAAGAGGCGACTGCATCACTTACTGGCAGCCATGCAATGGGGACTGTCAGTAGTAGGCAGAATTCTAAGATCCAAAATCCCTGCTCCATGATGTATATACCCTGTAAAATCTCTAGGACTATGAATATGATGGGATTTTACTTTCATGATCAGGCTAACTTTAAGAAAATGGGATTATCCAGCTGGATAATCCTGAACTAACCTCAAAAATCCTTCAAACGTGGGTCTAGAAGACAGAAGTCAGAGAGACTGGTCGGTGAGAGATTAGACAAAAACGATATTCTCCATAGCTGGCTTTCAAAATGGAGGGGGGGCATATGGCAAAGAATAAAGGCAGCATCTATAAGCTGAGAGTGGCTCCCAGCTGACAGCCAACAAAGAAACAAGACGTCAGTCCTACAGCTGCAAGGAACTCAGTTCTGCCAATAATCTGAATGAGCTTAGAAGTGGATTCTTTGCCAGAGCCTATAGACAAGAAATCATCCCAGCTGACACCTCGATTTCAACCTTGTGATATCCTGAGCAGAGAATCTAGCCACATGTATCCAGATTTTTGATGTATAGAACTGTGGGTGCCACTGAATTTATGGTAATTTGTTATGTAGCAAAATTAATAAGGGACTCCTTGGAGGGAAAGGCTGTAGGCGGCAGCTGCTGCTGATGCTGATGCTGCTGCTGCTGCTAGAGTAGGTAGATTTACTTCTAGCTTCAGCAACACTTCCAACAGGAAGACCAGAGGCAGACTATAAATTTGCCTGGAAACTAAAGAAAGGTCATCATAATGGGGTACATAGCTTTGAAACCACACTGCATTCATTTCCCTCATATTTATAATTACCAGACTGTATGTATTAATTTGCTTGCTGCTCCTCTCACTTATCATAATGAAAGCTCCATCCGTACAGAGATTATGTCTCCTGTTCTCTGCGGAATACTGAGCACCTTAAAAAATGTCTGACACATAGGCATGCAATAAATATTTGCTGGATAAGCTGTCATCAACCAAAAATCACAGTGGCCGGGCATGGTGACTCACACCTATAATTCCAGCACTTTGGGAGGCTGAGGTGGGAAGACCGCTCGAGCCTCGGAGTTTGACACCAGCCTGGGCAACCAGTGAGACCCCAACTCTATAATAAAAAAAAAATTAAAAATTAAAAAAATCACAGTAAACTGTGTTATATATAAGATTTCTTGGAATAACTACATTATCAACTGGAAAAGCTGCATTCAGTGAAGTCCATTCTAATAAATGATGTCCCTTTAATACAAAAGATAGGTGTTAGCCAGGTGCAGTGGTTCACACCTGTAATACCAGCACTTTGGGAGGCCAAGGTGGGCAGATCACTTGAGTTCAGGAGTTCAAGACCAGCCTGGCCAACACGGTAAAACCCCGTCTCCACTAAAAATACAAAAATTAGCCGGGCGTGGTGGCAGGTGCCTATAAACCCAGCTACTCAGGAAGCTGAGGCAGAAGAATTGCTTAAATCCAGAAGGCGGAGGTTTCAGTGAGCCGAGATCATACCACTGCACTCCAGCCTGGGTGACAGAGGGAGGCTCCATCTCACAAAAAAACAAAAAAAACAAAACAAAAAAAACAGATAGGTGTTTCTCCATACAGTTGTTTCACACATGCTTCCACAGATGTCTACGCTAATGCTGTCTAGTAAAGAATGCTTGTAACCTGGAAAATATATCAACAACAATAGAATGGTGTTTTAATAAACAATATGATAATGAAATCCCAACATCAACTGATTAAGATGGGGAATTTACTTTCAGGTAATACAGCCAATTCATCACCTCTTTCCACACAACCGTCCACACCCTCCAGAGTTCGAGAATCCTGATATGCTTGAAGAAACTGAGAACCAGAAAAATCTCCAGATGAGCAGTGGAGCATATTTCTACAGTGAATCTAACACTTAACATCTAATTTGTTTGTTATGCTAAACTGAATGTTGCTCAAAATTAAGTTTAAAAGCCCTAATATAATGCAAAAGAAATATGTTAACAATTATACCTTCTACTGAATACAATTTCTGGCACATTCAAGAGCAGATAACAGCAAGAGATATCTAATTCTAATACATCTCTTCTGCTAGAAACAATTATTTCTATTCCAAACTTCAACATGGTACATGCCAAAATGATTCACTGGTTGGTCGGGAGTCACGAATGTCTTTCCACCCCCACAGAATCACTGTTAAAAATGGTGGTTAGGTGCCATGAGCAGTCTGTACTTCAGGTACATTACAGAGCTTTGTGTCCTGGCAATTACACTACGTATTTATTTATATCTTGTCTCATTCTTTTAAAGGGGGAGGGGGGAGGTTGTAATCATCATATGTAGCAATACAATGATTTTTTTTTTTTTAAGGATGGCAATTCCTAAACAAGTCTTTTTTCAACAGAAAAAGTTCATCTTAAATTGGGACCATCTCAATTCAGCTTGAAAAGAAGGCAGGGAAAGCACATACATTCCCCTTAGATATTCTTTAAAATTAATTTTATAATGTAGAAAACAACAAAGTACTATTATGCATAATCCACAGAAAAGTAGAATGATTTAATCAGCATAAATTTAAAGAACTTCCAAAAATGTGTTCAGAATTAAGGGACAAATTTTCATTTTAAGGATAACAAAAACACAAGTAAACCATTAATACATTCATTCCTCCCCCATCCACCAAAAGTAAAAAGAACTTCACATCTGTGACCAGTGTTGGTTCATACCTTTGTATATGACTCACAAAACTATTCCTCAAAATTATTCCCTATCCCTATTATATATAATCACATTCCCTCAAAGTAGGATCTAAAAAGGGGTGGAATTCTTCCTTTTTAGAGACAGTTCATATATAAAAAGATGACAGTCTAATTCACGTTTAAGCCTGTATCTACAAATGTCATTTACTGAATTATTATGGTTGAATTAAATAAGCCTGCTAAGACTCAATCATAAGACCAGAATCATAACCAAAAGAAATGTTCTAATAGATACTATATTTGAAATCTAAGAATGCATTTTCTTCATCATTGTTAGGCACCTTGTCCACATTTTCATTTACTAATTTATATTCTAGATAAAACTTCCTAACACACTGAGAAGGTATTTTATCAATTCCTCTCTATTCCCACTGCCAATTCCTCTTCCCTCTACCATACCTTGATGCTCCCCACTTTAGGATGTGTGGGATGTATGCCCACTTTAGGTAGAATGTATACAATAACCAATCATGTCATGAGAAAGTTAATAGCTTTTCAATCCCTCAAGCCTTCTAATTACAAGATCTTAGTATCTTCATGTCGTTTGTTGTTGTTTTTTGTTTTTTTTACTGGGCAGATTTAGGCTCAGAGAATTTAGCAGGTAACAGCATCTATCTAAAAGTTAATACCATTATTTCGTTGTTATTTTAATGTTGCCATTGCCAACTATTCAAAGCCAGTGATACTAGTTTTCCATTTACGGTACCAATATAAAATTTCTCTTTAAATAAATGTATTTAAGGAAAAGAGTCATTTAAAGATATTAAGGAAATAACTGAATCTTGGAATGGCCCTCAAAAAAACTGAAGTGTCAGAAACACTACTCTGACCAGAATTGTGGCCATTTTAAACTCAATTTTTTCTCCACATTTTCTGGCTTATTTGATGACCCCAAATTCTCAACTAAGCTCCAGATTCCAACTTGGGATACTATACCAGCACATCAAATTCAACACCATTTTCTTCTGGATCATCCCCCACCCCCACCCTACTCCAACTTCACCATCAAAACCTAGCTAGATTCTCCTATATAACCATTCACACAATCTAAAAATCTAGAAGCTACCTGTGATTCATCCCTCTCCATTCACTGAATTCCAGAATTTACCAGCTCATTCATTCCACAAATAAAATCATGTGTGCAAATAAAATCATCTTATTTTAGAATGTTGTTTCTTAAAAACTTTCACACTCTATGAGAGGAGATATGTAGCCTTGTGGATGCTTTCTCCAAAATTGGAGGGTGGAGGGCAGAGGGGAACACATGATATGGGACAGATTTGAAAAGGAATGCCCTAAAATATTAACAGGGGTCATTTCTACATGGTACATGGTAGAAATGAGTAAGTTCCATCTGCTCCATATTTTCCTGTAACTTTGTATGTTTTCTATATTTTTATCATCAAGAAAAAAATACATTCCAAAAAGTGGTCCCATCTGGACTCACATCTCAATTCCTATTCAAGCATCCTAGTTCAACTCTCTTTAAATCCTCCTGTCTGTCCTCTAAATTGACCTTTGCAAAGGTCATTGTCCAATACACTATACACACAATTGCCTGAATAATACTCCTGAAGAGTTTTCACTAGGTTACACTTCTAGTCAACAATCTTTAATAGTTTCCTATTGACTATAATCATAAGAGTTGCCTACTCTGCCAGCTTTTAGGCACTTATCTAGCCCCAATTCTACCAATATAATAGATTTTCATGGTATCTAGAATCAAACTGCTCAAGTAATATTTCCATCATTTGCCAGCTGTGTCATCCTACAAAAGTAATTTAACCTCCAGATACCTTGGCTAAGCATTTGTAAAAAGAGGGCCAATAATACCTCATAAAGTTGTTATAAACATCAAGTGTGTAATGAAGGGACTGGTACATAATAGAAGCTCAATAAACAATAGTGTTATTACTCCTTTATAATCCTACACACAATCTCAGCTCAAGGCTGGTTTGCCCACTACCACAAATACACCTGACTTTATGTGCTTGGCTCACAGTGTTTCCCACGCCCTGAATAACCTCTGCCAATCCTCCACTTCTTCAAGCTCCACCAGCTCTCTGAAGCATGCACAGGCCAGACTTCCCCCACTTCTCATATTCTTTCCAGGGGTGTCCAATCTTTTGGCTTCCCTGGGCCACATTGGAAGAATTGTCCTGACCACACATAAAATACACTAACAAGAGCTGATGAGCTAAAAAAAAACGAAACAAACAAAAAACCAAACACACACACACACACACACACACACACACACAAACCCTCATAATGGTTTAAGAAAGTTTACAAATTTGTGTTGGGCTGTATTCAAAGCCATCCTGGGCCGCATGAACCGCAGGTTGGACAAGCTTGCTCTACACCTCACGGCTCTTGTGGCAGGTGAATTAATACTCAACTCATCTCAAAACTTGTAGACTTTGAAATTCTCTGTCTCAGCCTCTACTAGACTATTAGCAGTCTGAGGATAGTCATTGTGCCTTATACTTTTATCCCTTGATACATTAATTCCTTGTATAGAATAGATCCACAACATAAAATTATTGTTTTGCATATTTTAGTATTTCCTTTCCAACTAGACTGCAATCTTCCTGTCAGGGCTAACTTATGTCTTCTTTGTAATCCTAAAAATACATAGTATAATGCTACTGGCCCACTCTCCATTCAGAAAAATAGCACTTTAGTTAATAAATCTCACATAAAAAAATGAGAGAAAATAGCAAGTTTCTACTGTTAAAGTTAATGTACACATAAAAAAAAAATCTGAAAAAACAAACAAGGACTGATGATAGATATTGGTGGAATTATCTTTTTCCTGGAATAACAGTTATACTCTCATAATCACCTTACCATTTGAAACATCTACTAGTGGAACACAGCAGACTTACCAGATCAGACTACTACTCTGCTCAAAACTCTCCAAGGACTTTCTATCTCACCCAAGTAAAAGTGAAAGTATTTACAATGGCCAGGCCCCTTGCTCTCTCTGCAGTTCCTTGAATACAGTAAGAAACAAATTAGCTCAGCTAGAGCTTTTACACTTGCTTTTCCCTCTCTTGAAATGTTCTCTCCCGAATATCTACAGGGCTCACTCTCCCATGCTCTTCAGGCAACCTCTAGGAGAAAGCCCTTTCCTTATCATCTGCTACGGTCTGAATGTTGGCATCCCCCTAAAATTTTATGTTAAAACCTAGTACCCAAAACAACGGTATTAAGCGGTAGGGCCTTTGGGGAAGTGAGGAAGTCAAGATGGCTCTGCTCTCATGAATGGGATTAGTGCCCTTATAAAAGAGGTTGAAGGGAGCAATCTTACCCCCTCTACCATGTGAGGACACAGCAAGAGGCACCATCTATGAAGCAGACAGTATGCCTTTACCAGGCACTGAATCTACTGGTCACTTGAACTTCCCAGCCTCCAGAACTATGAGAAAGAAATCTGTTATGTATAAGCTACCCAGTCTAAGGTATTTTGTTATATTAGCCCGAATGTACTAAGACACTAAGAGCACTAAGCTCACCCCACATTCCAACCCTTTCACCAACTCTTTCTTCATAGCGCTTATTACCACCAATGAATTATATATCTGTTTGTTGTCTCTTTCTAAACACCGGCCTGTAGGCTACATGAGTGCAGGAACTTTGCTTTGCTCACTGCTACAGCCCCAGTCCCCAGTACAGACAACAGGGCCCAATAGTCAATAAAGATTTGTTGTATGAAGAAATGAATCTAAGTTGAATTGACTCTAGAACATTCTATCTTCAGTTTTATTTAATATCATCCATTTTATATCTTTGCTTCCTCATTTCCTCTTTCATACATTTGGAATAATATCTAAACCTTGCAGGAGATGTAAGGATTAAGAGACAGAGTGTGTGTAACTTAGAATAGCATCTAGCACATAGAATTGTTCTCTGTTACCTATTGTTATTAATTTCAGCCACTTAGTTCCAATTATATTCTTAGATATAAATGTATGATTCCTATTTGTTATGCCCTAAGCAACGATTTTTGTAGGCAAATGGTAAAGATAACTAATATCTTCTCTAACCAAAAGTTACCTTAGGCAAAAAGCTACAAAGTATAGAGTGTTTCCTAATAATGATAAAACTACTAATACAACTGCAAGTTAGAATTGTTATACACTATTATTATAAGTGAAAGCGTTTGGTTTATATATACCTGATCTGAAGCCTGTAAGAGCTCTACCAAACCCAAACTAGGTTGCTGTTTTGACTTTAGCTGGACACTTCAAAAATATGTAGATATACCTATTTTATCGTTCACAGGCTCCTTTCTATTGCAATGGATTTGTTCATCAGACTACAAGCTTTTTTTTTTCTTTTGAGATGGAGTCTCACTCTGTCACCAGACTGGAGGTGCAGTGGCGCGATCTCGGCTCACTGCAACCTCCGCCTCGCCGGTTCAAGCAATTCTCTTGCCTCAGCCGCCTGAGTAACTGGGATTACAGGTGCCCACCACCACGCCCGGCTAATTTTTTTGTATTTTTAGTAGATTCGGGGTTTCACTGTGTTAGCCAGGATGGTCTCGATCTCCTGACCTCATGATCCGCCCGCCTCGGCCTCCCACAGTGCTGGGATTACAGGCGTGAGCCCCCACGCCTGGCCAGACTACAAGCTTTAAGTGTAAATCCATGACAATATGTTTTAGGACAGAGTTTTGACCATTTATCAAAAAAACACACTAAAACTTAAAAGAAAAAAATTAGTATTATCGTAAGTCAAATATTAATGCTTTATCAGAAAGCTAAATGTAAGTTAAAACTACTTGGCCTCCAAATCTGGCATACTATTAATAATTCAATTAAGCACTTTTTTTTTCCTTTCTCTTTTTTTGAGAGAGTCTCGCTGTCATCCAGACTGGAGTGCAACGGCACTATCAGAGTTCACAAAGCCTCTATCTCCTAGGCTCAATCAATCCTCCCTATGAGCCTCCCAAGTAGCTACGACTACAGGTGTGCACCACCCAAGTAGCTACGACTACAGGTGTGCACCACCACAGCCAGCTAATTTTTGTTTTGGTTGTTGTTGCTATTTTGTAGAGACAGTGTCTTGCTATGTTGCCCAGGCCAGTCTTAAACTCCTGGCCTCAAATTATCCTCCTGCCTCAGCCTCCCAAACTGTTAAGCATTATTTTGTAATACTCCTAAAATTTAGATTTTTATTATAGTCTCCATTTTTTAAATACTCCATTCTAGAGAACTACCCACCCAAACGATCTAGACTGTGTTTATCATGTAGTTAATCAAAAGGTATTAGTGCATGTATCCATACAACAAGGAAATATTTATTATATTGAGGCACAGACATGAGAAAACAATCAATGGAATTTCTAATGGTAAATAAGCCAAGACTAGCAGCTAAATGCTAGGCCCACCAGGCATGAGTAAGCTGAGTATATTCCATGTATAGTACAAGTTTCCAATAATTTGAAGCAATAGGTTTGTTTCATAACACATCACTTACAGCTTCTAAGCACTGTAATACTTAGCAAGTATTTATTTAGCATTTATAAATGCTATTTCTGATTAGTCACTTTTGGCCAAGAGTATGTGTTCTGGGATGAGAAAAACAATAAACGCCTAAAAGCTCCTGTTCATCACTGTTCTTCAGCTCCCACGAAACTTTTAAGTGTGTAGGAGATTTAGTCCTCATATCGATACCAGGGAATACTGAATTAAAACCTAGAAGCGGCCAGGCGAGGTGGTTCATGCCTGTAATCCCAGCACTTTGGGAGGCCAAGGTGGGTGGATCTGAGGTCAGGAGTTTGAGATCAGCCTGGCCAACATGGTGAAACTCTGTCTCTACTAAAAATTTAAAAATTAGCTGGGCGTGATGGTGGGCGTCTATAATCCCAGCTACTCGGGAGGTTGAGACAGGGGAATCACTTGAACCCAGGAGGTGGAGGTTGCAGCGAGCCGAGAGTGCACCACTGTACTCCAGACTGGGCAACAAGAGCAAAACTCCATCTCGAAAACAAAACAAAACAAAAATCTAGAAGCAACAGGCTATAGCACAGGAGAACTTACTCAGGTGCTGTGAGATAAAACATAGGGTCAGCACTTACAAGATCCTGAGAGTGACTGCCTCCTTAAATTTTAAGTCCTACGTGCCTCCTTGACTCACTCTGGCCTTAGGTAGAGCCAGGGATGTTATTAAACATTCTACAATGCATAGGACAGTCTCCCACAACAAAGAAGTATCTGGCTCAAGATGTCAATAATGCTAACATTTAGAAGCCCCAGTTTAAAAGAAAGAACTGAGTTAGAATTCCAGCTCCACAACTCATTAGCTAAATGAGCTGCAGCAAATTATATAACCTCTCTGAGAGAGTTTCCTCATGTATAAATTGGATATCATGCTTATACTGAAAGATTGCTAGGAGGAAAAACTGAAACAGAAGCCCTAGGCAGAGAGTAGACACTCTACAAATGTTAGTTACCATTCTTCAGAGTAAAATCTCCATCACAGACAGAGCTCTGGCCCACTCAAAGATGTATTTTTAAATTATTATGGTACTATAATTATTTTATCGCCTATCAAAATTTAAGGAACTTGAAGATAAGAGTCCTTACCTTATTGGACTTTGTAGCCTCAGCGTCTAGCACAAATGGACGAATAAATTCTAAGCACCTACCCATTACAATAAGGTATAAATTGCATTGTGCAAAATTGCCAAATATAAGAAAACATAATTCTTGCCCTGGAAAAATTCTGAAAAGAAGCCTAACAAGAAAACAAAACATACAGATAGATTTAACACACAGTAGGCACTCAAAAAAGCTCATGGATTGATGGGTAAAATTCACGTAAATAGCTGAGGCCACGATTGAATATTAATGGAATGCAGATGAAATAGTATTAAAGATATTTAATCAGGGAAAAAGCATATTTTCCTGATTAAATCCTATGTATATGCAGCTAGTATTTTCTAAAGGGAATGAAAGTACACTTAACGCACAAACATCAAAATGACAAGTGCTATCATTTGCCATTTTAGCAATATTTAGCTAAATTTCTTTTTTGTTTTGTTTTGTTTTTGAGGCGGAGTTTCGCTCTTGTTGCCCAGGCTGGAGTGCAATGGCGCGATCTCGGCTTATCACAACCCCCGCCTCCCGGGTTCAAGCAATTCTCCTGCCTCAGCCACCCAAGTAACTGGGATTACAGGCATGCGCCACCATGCCCAGCTAATTTTTGTATTTTTAGTAGAGACGTGGTTTCTTTATGCTGGTCAGGCTGGTCTTGAACTCCCGACCTCAGGTGATCCACCCGCCTTGGCCTTCCAAAGTGCTGGGATCACAGGCGTGAGCCATCGCGCCCGGCAGCTAAATTTCTTAATTCAGATGACGGCAGCACATTTTAACAGGTTCAAAGGGCATTTTAAGCAATTTTAAAAACCACATCATATTTTAATGGGAGCTTATCAAATCCCTGACATCCACAATCCATAAATCGTCTGAGACAGAATAAGACCAAAAAGGCTGATGCCCAAATGTCTGTATACTTTGCTGAAAAGGCTGAGCTCAAGCATACCCAAAGTGTGTTAGAAGCAACTTTTAAAATGCACAAATGTAACAATTATTTTTAAACCAACAATTTTAGAAAAATAGCAGTTCCTATCTAAAGCTTTTATAAATATAAGACACTGGCTTTGCAAATGTCAGCGGAGTTTTAAGATCTCTTTCTAAAGCAATAGTCTCTCTGTTTTGCTTGGTATCTTAATATGTCTTTAGTTTCAAAACTTAATTTGCCAACACTATTCCTCTCAAAACCTCAGGAATTCCATTACTAGTTTTAAACTAAATTAAAGGAAAATAGACGCATTCAACCCATGGCAGAAGTATGCACAAAGTGTTTGTTGATGCTCATAAACAGACTGAGAAATTTAGACACATCTGAAGGACAATGGCTGTACAGTCAAGTCTGTTTTGCTCCACCATGGAACCAAACAGAGAATTATTGCTACCAAGTGAGACCAGCCCTAGATACCTCTAAACTAAGTGGACTATAACAGACAGAACATTATCTTTTAAGTTAGAGCTTTTGTGTATGTTTTCACGTCAGGGAAGAATAGTTAGAGCATCCCTAAAAAAAATCCATATGGAGCCAAGCTATCCTCTCTCCCAAAACAATCCTTAAAGTGACTTCAACAGTAACCACTCGCTTGCCCCCCAAAAATATATGAGATTTTTAAAAAAAGGAATAAACTATGCTTAACATACAGATGGTTCTTTGTCTTATCCCTAGAAATCTTCTTTTCCATTCCATTTCCTTTTTCTCAGATTCCATAAATCTTCCTGACAATTACAGCCATTTCCACTTTTCATCCCTCTCCATCATCTCCTTCAAGACCTAGTTCATCTCAACTTACCTGAATCACAGATATCAGGATCCCCTGGGTGGAACTAGTAACATATTTTCCCATTTCCCTGTTACTCCATTTTATATGACTTAATGGAAATACAGATTCATAATTCCAAATTACTTTTTTTTGTTTCTTTGTCTTATTTCAAACTCTCCCTTTCCTCTACCCCCAGCCTCTAGTCAAATTCTTTTTTAAACACAATTCATTCACAAGATACAGGCTATCCACATAAAGTAAAATTACAGTGACTGCTAATAATGAAAATAATACATTTTTGATGAAGTAAACAAGTGAAAGCCAGTTGTTTGCACAAGAGTGATCAGTGCTTGCAACCACATAATTAATAAAAATAGAGAAAATAAATCTAATTATAAACAGCATATAACCAAACTAGTAATCATATTTTTGCAGAGTACCTTATAAAACTAACATTCTATCTTTAGAAATGAATACACAAAGAACAATTTGGAAATATTTATCAAAAATGCTATTGTATATCCACGGACACAGAAATTCTACTTCTAATTTTAAAGTACTTGCACGGGCAAAATATGTATACAATATTCATTAAATCATTATTTTAAAAGTCAAACATAGCCCCAGCACTGTGGCTCACTCACACCTGTAAACCCAGCAGTTGAGAGGACTACTTGAGGCCAGGCACTTGAGACCAGCATGGACAACATAGTGAGTCCCCGTCTCTACAACAAAATTTTAAAAACTTAGCTGGAAATGGAGGTATGTACCTGTACACCTGTGGTCCTACCTACTTGGGAGGCTGAGTCAGAATGATCGCTTGAGCCCAGGAGTTCAAGACCGTGGTGAGCTATGATTGTGACACTGCACTTCAGCCTGGGTACCTGTCTCCAAAAAAAAAAAAAAAAAAAAAAAATGGAAGAAACGCACCAAAGATAGGAAACAAACTTAATGTCCACCAAAAAAGGAATTTATAGTACATTCCGTTTGATGGATACTATACAGCCATTAAAAAGCTACGTATGGGCCAGGCGCGGTAGTTCACGACTATTAATCGCAGCACTTTGAAAGGCCGAGGTGGGCAGGTCGCTGGAGCTCAGGTGTTTGAGAGCAGCCTGGACAACATGGCAAAACCTCGTCTTTATAAAAAATATAAAAAATTAGGCAGGTGGGTGGCTTGTGCCTGTGGTCCCAGCTACTTCAAGGGCTGAGGTGGGAGGATCGCTTGAGGCCAGGAGGTCAAGGCTGCAATGAGCCAAGATTACGCCACTGCACTCCAGCCAGGGTGACAGAGCAAGAGACCCTGTCTCAAAAGAAAAAGAATGTGGTTATAAATGTAGGAAGAAAATGTGCTATAAACAGGAACTGCCTTAGGGCATGGGACCTAGTAGACAGAAAGGTAGGAAAAAAGACTTGCTTTTCACAATAAGCCCTTTTGTATCTTTAAATTTTAGATCATGTACACTTACTAAACTTTTGTTAAAATAATTTTTAAAACAGCAAAATAATTTAGGACATTCTCTCAGATCCTCTAATCCATAAATAGTTCTACTCTTTTATCTCTAGGCACTTTTAATTTGGACTGAAAATCTAGGCTACTAGAGGTTACCAATAACCATAGGTAGAGGACTTATTTCTTTAGTGAAAAGTATAACCATGGCAACTTTGCATCAACCAAAACAAAATATAAGAAGTCAAGAAATACACAAAGAATGTATCTTACCCAAAGCAATCTTTTTACAGAAATAACACTGAATACAATACAATTTTGTTAGCACTCTACAAACTGTGCTTCACCAAAAGAAAAAAACCATCTGGCTGAAATTTCTGGTTATGGTCTAGATCTCAAATGGCTATATACACCAGAAATATTTTGTAAAGAACCTAAGAAGTGCCAAAATCATTTGAATCCAAAAGGCAGTTAAAAACAAGAGAAGAAGGAGGACAAAAACTTGGGCAAAAGTTTCAAATGCCAAAAAAAAAAAAAAAACCCACACATTTTCAAGGTATTTTTCTAATGGAATTTTTCTTTTTAGCTCTTAAATTCCAAATAAGCTGAACACTATAATCCCTCAATTAGTCATTAAAACTCAAGAAATGTAAAGAAACAGTTCATCTTTTTCAAGCTAATTTTTAAATGTTGCTATTTAATATGATTTTTGTTTTTGCTATTAGATAAAGAATTATTAATTTGATAGCAGCTAATACTACTCAGGTCCCCTCTTCTTTCTCAGATTCAAACAATCTATTTCATTATAAAACAAGAAAGCATATTCTTGACATGGGGAAAATACATAACGGTAACATAAAGAGTAGTGTATTTATTTTTTGTTAAAATCCTTTTACTGGGTCTTTTGTTAACATTATGACTTGGCCATCTGAACATACTGCTACATCAGTATGTTTTAGACTTGACGACCTATTTTTTTTTTAATCAAACTATATAGCTCAAAGGTTTGTTGTTAAAATCAATTACAGTCTCTTGAGGTCTACAATATACCTCAGCAAACAAAAGATGTTAGCTGGCATATCAAACAATCAGTATATTCCTTTGCCAGATTCAAACACTCAGGCTAATGACCCCCAGAAAAGCCAAAAAAAAAAACCCCAAAAACTTCACAAAAGGTACAGTTAAGAAAACAGGATATAAAAAACACCTCAGAATATGTGATATTTACATATCTTGACAATTACAGAGAAAAAGGACAAGAATGTCACCAACCAACCAATAATTTTCTTTTTTTTTTTTTTTTGAGATGGAGTCTTGCTCTGTCCCCAGGCTGGAGTGCAGTGGCATGGTCTCAGCTCACTGCAATTTCCGCCTCCTGGGTTCAAGCGATTCTCCTGCCTCAGCCTCCTGAGTAGCTGGGACTACAGGCATGCGCCACCACACCCAGCCAATTTTTGTATTTTTAGTAGAGACGGCATTTCACCATGTTGCCCAGGCTGGTCTTGAACTCCTGAGCTCAAGCAATCCTCCCACCTCAGCCTCCAAAAGTGCTGGGATTATAGGCGGAAGCCACCTAACCAAGGCTTGTAAGCTTAATTTTTATCTTGGAATGTTCCCTCATTTTTCTTACACAGTTGGTGCAAAAAAAAGAACCAAGGAGCAAAATGAAGCCAGTATCTAAGATGTGGGACAACTTACAGAACTCTACCCCAAACACTACCTGAAGACCACTCAAGATTACCTATTGACTGGGTAAATCAGATTCCCTAAAAGGCATCAAACACCTGCACAGAAGGTAAGAGTACATGCTGTATTTGAACCAATAAACATCTAGGTAAAAATCCTGGGGCTCCACTATTATCACCTGCCTGACCTTGGGAAGGTTACTTAACTCTCTGAGGCCTCAGTTTTTTCATCTATAAAATGGAAAGAGGAATAATAATTCAGTAGAAACTCTTTTAACAGACTTCTACTGTATCAAACTTACAAAAGTAAAGCTCTCCAATCCCTCCATAAATCACTCCCTAATGCCCAACACAGGCTCATCACCTACACCTAGTAGTCTTCTAAGCAGACCACTTTCTTAACATGTCCCTACCCTTCTGCACTTAATGCTTAATAAGAGCCAGCAGTCCATTCCCAAACCAGTTTATGCCAACTGCACTTGTTATTGTTAATTATATAATTTAAGATCGTATGAACTGAATTATGAGGAAAAAGGTTGTTTCTGTGAAAATTATGTTGAAAAGTTCAAAAAGATTCAGAGGCTAGTATTTTTTAAAGTTATTATGGAATTAGGTATATGTCAAAACAGCTTCAAATAGGAGGAAAAGCATGAAAACGTGGAAGGATTTTATATACAAGCATACCTCAAAGATATTGCGGGTTCTGCTCCAGACCACAGCAATAAAGCAAATTTTGCAATAAGGCAAGTCACAAAGTTTTTGGTTTCCCAGGGCAAACAAAAGTTATGTTTACACTGTACCGTAGTCTATTAAGTGTGCAACAGCATTACGTTTAAAAAAACGCACATACCTTAATTTTAAAATACTTTATTACTAAAAAATGCTAATGATCATCTGATCAGCAAGTGGTCATCTTTTTGCTAGTGTAGGGTTTTGTCTCAAGGTTACAGCGGCTGACTGATCAGAGTGGTGGTTGCTAAAGGGTGGGGTGGCTGCGGCAATTTCTTAAGGCAACAATCACTTGCCGCATCAAATGACTCTTCCTTTCACAAAAGATTTCTCTGTAGCATGTGGTGCTAATTTACTGCATTTTACCCACAGTAGAACTTCTTTCAAAATTGGAGTCATCAATCCTCTCAAACCCTGTCACTGCTTTATCAACTCAATTTATGTAATATTCTAAATCTTTTGTTATCATTTTAACAATGTTCCCAAAATCTTCATCAGGAGTAGACTCCATCTCAGAAACTATTCTTTGCTCATTCCTAAGAAGCAATTCCTCATCCGTTAAAGTTTGACCATGAGATTGCAGCAATTCAGTCACATCCTAAGGCTGTAGTTCTAATTCCAATCCTCTTGCAATGTTCACCATATATGCTGTTACTTCCTCCAGTGAAGTCTTCAATCTCTCAAAGAGATCTATAAGAGCTGGAATCAACTTCTTCCAAACTCCCATTAATGTTGATATTTTTACCTCCTCCCATAAATCACAAGTGTTCTTAATGACTCTTTGGAATGGTGAATCCTTTCCAGAAGGTTTTCAGTTTACTTTGCCCAGATCCATCAGAAGAATCACTACCTATGGCACCTATAGTGTTACAAAATAGTATTTCTTAAACAATAAGACTTGAAAGTCAAAATTACTCCTCAATCTATGGGCTGCAGAATAGATGTGTTAGTAGGCATGAAAACAACATTAATCTTGTACATCCCCATCACAGCTCTTGAGTGACCAGGTACATTGTCAGTGAGTAGTAATATTTTGAAAGAAATCTTTTCTTCTGGGCAGTAGGTCTCAACAGTGGGCTTAAAATATTCAATAAACCATGCTGTAAAGAGATGTGCTGTTATCCAGACTTTATTGTTCCATTCATAAAGCACAGAGTAGATTTACCATCATTCTTAAAGGGCCCTAGGACTTCTGGAATGGTAAATGTTAACTTCAAGTCACCAGCTGCATTGGCTAAGTAGAGAGTCAGCCTGTCCTTTGAAGCTTTCAAACCAAGCATAGATTTCTCTCTAGCTATGAAAGTCCTAGACAGCATCTTGCAATAGAAAGCTGTTTCAACTACAATAAAATTTGTTGTTCAGGGTAGCCACCTTCATCAATTATCTAAATTAGTTCTTCTGGTGAGGCATGTTGGCTCAGGCCTATGGTTCTGGTGCATAAGGAGGCGAGGCCAGGAGTTTGAGACCAGCCTGGGCAATTTAGCAAGCCCTCATCTATATAACCATAACACATAATTCTAAGAAAAATGATAAAGAAGTTCTTCTAGGTAACTTGCTGCAGCTTCTGCATCAGCATTTGCTGCTTCACCTTGCACTTTTATGTTACATAGATGGCCTCTTTCCTTAAACCTCATGAACCAACCTCTATTTGGCTTCAAACCTTTTTTCTGCAGCTTCCTCACCTCTCTCAGCCCTCATATAATTGAACAGAATTAGGGTCTTGCTCTGGATTAGGCTTTGGCTTAAGGGAATGTTATGGCTGGTTTGATCTTCTATTCAGGCCATTAAAACTTTCTCCATACCAGCAATAAGACTTTCACTTTCTTATCATCTGGATGTTCACTGGAGTAGCACTTTGCATTTCCTTCAAGAACTTTTCCTTTGCATTTACAACCTAACTGGCACAAGAGGCTTCTCTTTCAACATGCCTTCCTCCCTAACTTTAATCACTTCTAGCTTTTGATTTAAAGTGAGAGATGTGTGACTCCTCCTTTCACTTGAACACTTAGAGGCCATCATAGGACTAACTGGCCTAATTTCAATATTTAGGGTCTCAGGAAATAGGGAACCCTGAGGAGCAGGAAAGAGATGAGGAAACAACCATTCAGTGGAGCAGTCAGAACACACACATTTATTGATCAAGTTCACCATCCTATATGGGCACAGTTTGAGGTGCCCCAAAACAATTACAATAGTAACATCAAAGATCACCATAACAGATATAATAATGATAAAAAGTTTGAAATACTGTGAGAATTACCAAAATGTGACCCAGAGACATGAAGTAAGCACACGCTGGCTGGAAAAATGGCACTGATACAGAATTCTGAATACAGGGTTGCCACAAACCTTCAATCTGTTAAAAAAAAAAAAAATGCAGTTATCTGCAAAACACAAAAAAATGAGGTATGCCTGTATTACACTGAAAGTGCCTTATATTCTCTCTTCTCCATAAAAAAGGGAATTAGGATACTTAATGGATAATGCTGCATGGCTGTGGATTATGCCAAAAAAGGCAATGCAGAACTCTAATCAAAGTACCCATCTACAAACAAAAACCTTGACCCTATAGGGAAAAAGTGAAGGAATGTACATTCTAGTTAAAATAAAAAAATGTTATTTTTTATGATTCCTTGTAACCAGCATTTTCAAGTACCTACTCAATATATCACATAGAGGATCTTAATACATAGCTATCTCAAAATTTACAGAATTATTGTGAAGACTGAAAAAAAATGCACTTAAGTACAGTGTGTGAATCTTAGTAAGTATTCAATTAAAACCTGTTTAGGTCAGGCATGGTGGCTCATGCCTGTAATCCCAGCACTTTGGGAGGCCAAGGTGGGCGGATCACCCAAGGTCAGGAGCTCCAGACCAGCCTGGCCAAAATGGTGAAACCTCATCTTGATTAGCCGGGCATGAAAGCGGGAGCCTGTAATCCCAGCTACTCAGGAGGCTGAGGCAGGAAAATCGCCTGAACTTGGGAGGTGGAGGTTGCAGTGAGCCAAGATCGCACCACTGCACTCCAGCCTGGGTGACAAGAGCAAGACTCCATCTCTAAATAAATAAATAAATAGGCTGGGCGCGGTGGCTCACGCCTGTAATCCCAGCACTTTGGAAGGTCGAGGCGGGCGGATCACGAGGTCAGGAGATCGAGACCATCCTGGCTAACACGGTGAAACCCCGTCTCTACCAAAAATACAAAAAATTAGCCAGGCGTGGTGTCGGGCGCCTGTAGTCCCAGCTACTTGGGAGGCTGAGGCAGGAGAATGGCGTGAACCTGGGAAGCGGAGCTTTCAGTGAGCGGAGACGGCGCCACTGCACTCCAGCCTGGGGGACAGAGCGAGACTCCGTCTCAAAAATAAATAAATAAATAAATAAATAAGTAAACTTCTGTTTTAAGAGTTTTAGGGGGGTGAGAGTGTGTGTGTGTGTGTGTGTGTGTGTGTGTGTGTGTGTGTGTGTGTGTGTGTGTTTTAAGATGAGGTCTTACTATGTTTCCCAGGCTAGTGTTGAACTCCTGGGTTCAAGTGATCCTTCCACCTCAGCCTCTCAAGTAGCTGGGACCACAGGTGCATGTCACCATGCCTGGCAGGTTTTGATGTCTTCTGTTGTTACCATAATGATCTGCTGCTCTAACAACATAGTATTGCTGTCTCCCAAAACACACAGAAAAGTAAAAGATGCACAATTTTCTTGTTGTTTTGTTATTTTTGTATTCATATATGTTACACATACAGACTTCAGACATTATTAGCCATATAAATTCCTAAACAGCCATCAAAAAACGTCAAGGCCAATACTCCTGAGAGCTCCAGGAGACTGTAGTCTCCCAGGGGTATACTTAACTATAAAGATAAGATTATGGTAATGTATTAACATGTCAGCACGACTAGGCACTTGAAAGTGACAACATAGGAAAAATGAATGAGGTGCTGGCATGGTACCAGTGGAGGGAGCAGCAGCTCTTTGAACAGGGAGCAGACAGGAAGAAAGGTTGAGAATCCAAATTGAGGAGAGTAACTAGGAGATAATGATAAAGACCAAAGAGAAGCAATGTAGAAACTGGCAATCATTTTGTAGGTAAACCTGTAAGCTAAAGAGAAGGATGTGGTGATTCAGCCTCTAGCTCAGAACTGTGGAACACTGGCACAGATATTAAAAAGCTTTTCCAGGCCGGGTGCAGTGGCTCAGACTTGTAATCCCAGCACTCTGGGAGGCAAAAGCGGGCAGATCACAAGGTCAGGAGATCGAGACCATCCTGGCTAACATGGTGAAACCCCACCTCTACTAAAAATACAAAAAATTAGCTGGGCGTGGTGGTGGGCGCCTGTAGTCCCAGCTACTCAGGAGGCTGAGGCAGGAGAATGGCGTGAACCCGGGAGGCGGAGGTTGCAGTGAGCCGAGATTGCACCACTGCACTCTAGCCTGGGCGACAGAGCGAGACTCTGTCAAAAAAAAAGAAAGAAAAGCTTTTCCAATTAATTAAAAGTAATATCACATTTTTTAAAGTTCATGTCTTAGGACATTATAATCAATTTTACTCTTCATGAAAAAACTGTTACATAAAGAAATGCACTCTAAAACCACAACAGTGAAGTACCTTTCTCGCCTAGTAAGTTGGGGGAAGGAGAAAACAGCACTAATACCCAATCTAAAAGAATACAGTGAAACAGTACTAGTAATACTATCCTTTTGAGAAGCAATTTAACCACATTTCAAGATTAAAAAACTCTCATATCCTTTGACTCAAAAATCATACCTGGGAACCTACCTTAAGGAAATAACTAGAAATATGAAGAAATCCATATACTCAAAGGTGTTTTCTGCAGTATTTCTCTTTTTAAGCTTAATTTATTTTTTTATATTTTGCAACATTTCTTATGATAGCAACAACTAAATATGATGGATGGTGACACGGAAAATACTTAATATAAAGTTTGTAAAAAGTAGCAAACAAAATTGAGTATATACTATAAGTGATAGAAGATGTATATGAAAAAGGCTATAAAAAGCTCCAAAATTGACTGTATTAGTGATAGAATTAAGAATTTTTTTCTATTTTTGTAAACTTTCTGAGATTTCACTTTATGAATTAAAACAAATTACATTTTTAAAACATCAATCTCCAAAGATTACATACTACATGACTTCACGCAACATTCTCAAAATGACAAAACTAGTGGTTGGGGGTCACGGGGCATTGTAACTACAAAGAGGCAGCACTAAGGAGTGTTTTCATGGTGATGGAACAATTCTGTATCTTGATTGTGGTATTGTTTCCACAAAACTACACATGGGATAAAATTACACAGAACTATATGTACACATGCACGCACAAGGAAGTCCAGGTTGAAAAATGGTGAAATCTGTATACCGTATGTTGTCTCATTAACAGTAATGTATTGATGTCAATTTTTTTGTGTTCATAAATGACATCTATGTAAGATGTTTTCGTTGGGAAAACCAAGTGAAGGTATGCAGGACTATTATTTTCCAACTTCCTGTGAGTCTACTTCAAAATAGAATGTTAAAATAATACATGCACTAGCATGTATAATATTAAACTTTTCTGAGAGTGGGAGATGTGGGAATGTAAAATGAGCCCTGTAACATGTAGCTTTCAAGGCACTAACCTACCAACTATTCACAAAACCCCACAGAAGGCAAATGGCAGTCTAGATTGAATGTAATTTACTTAAGTCAGGTTTTAATAAAAGGCTTCAATTTAAATGAAAATATCAGTCAATTTTCAGAACATGCTTAACTGAATAGTTTTGAACCTCAAAGCCTATACTTACATAATTTATTAAGCAAGAGCCCTCGGAACTTTCTTCCTTGCCAGAAAACAGTTTCAACAGATATAAATGATATTTTCTTACATACATTCATTTTAAATATATAAATGACTACTACACACAAAAGATATAAAAGCTTATTACCTCTGGACTGTGCTCCATGACAGCAATCACATCTGTCTTAATTAAACATTTTGACACAATGCCTAATATAGTAGGCTCCCAATAACTATCTACTGACTCAGTCAGTCAATGGATGAATTCACATTTTAACCAAGGTTCAATGCCCAAGTCTCTCCAGCTTTAACTGGGAATGGGAGGTAGAGGGTTAGGGGGAAAAAGGCCCAGCTTCTACCAATTTACCAGATCAAAGGATTATATTAACCAACACTCCCGTAATATCAATGTAAAAGTTTACCTTAGGAAAACCTTAAGTCACCTCCTCTAATCACTCATATCTTAAAGGATTGTTTAATAAAAAGAAATGATCTGGTATCAAAAAATCTGCCTCACTAATCTTTGTCACCTAATGCTTTAGAATTTCCTTTGCTATGTGCAACTCTATTGACTTCTTGATCTAACAAATCTTAGCTAGAGTTATGCAAAGTATCAAAAACCTCTTCTACACAAGCCTTAAACTCTCAACAATTATACATATACAATTATATATACTTATACATTATACACATATATATAGAAAGCACTATACAAATATAAGGTATATTATTACTACACTTAGTTTTCACTAAGGAAAAAAAAAAAAACCATAAAACACTAAGGTACCTCTAAGCAGACTGCTTGTTACAAGGAAAAATAGTAACTATAGAGTAGAAGAACCAGACTATATCTTGACCGAAGTTAAAATCACTAATGAGGGGCAAGTGGGCATTATGTATCTCCAGATGTGATAATCTGAGAGGAAAACATCACTTTTGTAACATTCTGACTAAACATAACCTGACTACAATCAAAAAGCTAATCAGATCAAATCAGACAAGTCCAAATTGAAAAACCTTCCGTAAAATAAATGACCTATACTCTTCAATTGCATGAAAGACAAAGAACTGCTGAGGAACTCTCCCCAAATTAAAGGAGACTAAAATAAAATATGTGATCAAATTACCAAAATGGGAATGTAAAGTGTAAAGTACCGTATCAACGTTAAATTTCTCGGGCCAGGTTTGGTGGCTTATGCCTGTAATTCCAGCACTTTGGGAGGCCGAGACAGGATAGCTTGAGCCCAAGAGTTTGAGACCAACCTGGTCAGCCTGGTCAACATAGTGAGACACCATCTCTACAAAAATCTTAAAAAAAAAAATCAGCTGGGCATGGTTGGGCCTGCCTGTAGTTCCAGCTACAAGAGAGGCATGAGTATCTCTTGAGCCTAGGAGTTCAAGGTTGTAATGAGTTGTGATTGTGCCACTGCACTCCAGCCTGGATAACAGGAAGAGACTTTATCTCAAAAAAAAAAAAAAAAATTCTGGAATTTGGACTTTCATGATGGTACTGTGATTATCTTAAGAGAATACTCTTATTCTTAGGAAATACACCCTGAGGTAAAAGGCATACAATCTACTCTTCAATGGTTCACAAAAAAATAAATGTGTGTATGCAAAAAGAAAAATATGGCAAAATATTAAAAATTAGTGACTATGGATAAAGGGTATACAGAGGTCTACTGCACTATTCTTGCAACTTTCCTGTAAGTTTGAAATTATTTCAAAATAAAACGTTTAAGAAAATAGGACACTATTCTCCAGGCGGTTACTTATAAGCTCTAAGGAATAAAATTTTTAAGTACTACTAAAAATCACTCTGCAAAACTAACATAAAGTTACGAGAACTTCACAGTCAAAAATTACAAGACAAGAAGGCGTGGCACCATAAGCAACAGCCAGCAGAAACAAACAGCAGAATCATGTCTGCAAAGACTTCAGATACTGGATTATCAGGCACAAAATGTAAAGTAAGTATATTTAATAGATTTTTAAGAAATAAAAGAAATATTGAGAACATAACCAAGAAAAGGAATAAGACTACCCAAAAAAAGGATGATAGTCTTAAGAAGGAACTGAATAAAATGTCTAGAAACAAAAATATATAGTAAATGAAATTTTTAAAAACCCAATGGCCAGGTGCAGTGGCACATGCCTGTGCTCCCAGATACTTGGGAAGCTGAGACAGGAAGATGGCTTGAGTTCAGAAATTTGAGGTTGTAGTGTGCTATGATCGCCGCTATGAAGAGTCACTGCACTCCAGCCTGGGCAATATAGCAACACCCCATCTCTAACATAAATTTGTAAAACTCAAAGAACATGCTATAACATAGACTAACCTAGAAAACATGCTAAGTAAAATAAACCAGACACAAAAAGACAAATATTTTATGATTCCACTTACATGAAGTACCTAGAATAGTCAAATTTGTAGAGGCAGAAACTCAAATAGTGGTTGCCAGGAGCTAGAGAAAAGAGGAAATAAGGAATTACTGTCTAATGGGTACAAGTTTTGGTTCACGATGATGAAAAAGTTCTGGAGATCAGTAGTGGTGACAGATGCACAATGATGTGAATGCACTTAATGCCACCGAACTGTACACTTAAAAATGGTTAAATGGTAAATTCTATGTTATATGTATTTAACCATAATGAAAAAAATGGGCATAATAGTTAAATAAAAAGTTTTTAAATTCAATAAACTGGTTGAACACAGCTGAAGAGAGAAGTAGCTAACTTCAAGAAAAGTATCCAGAACACAATACAATACACAAAGATAATGAAATGGACAATATAAAAGACAGGTTAAGAGACACGGAGGTAGAGTAAGAAGATCTAACATACTTCAAATACAAGTTCCAAACAGAAAATATGGAAGACAAAATTTAAGAAAAAGGCCAAAAATTCTCCAAAATTGTTGAAAGACACTAATCTTCAGATTTGAAAACCTAGTTAATACCAAGCACGATAAATAAAAAGAAATCAACTTCCAAACATAAAAATGAAAATGCAGATCACCAAGAACAAAGTAGCAGTTCTAAAACTAGCCATAAAGAAACAACAGATTAGTCCAGGCACAGTGGCTTGCACCTGTAATCCCAGCATTTTGGGAGGCTGAGGCAGGTGGATCATGAGGTCAGGAGATGGAGACCATCCTAGCCAACATAGTGAAACCCCATCTCTACTGAAAATACAAAAATTAGCCAGGCGTGGTGGTACACACCTGTAATCCCAGCTACTCAGGAGGCTGAGGCAGGAGAATTGCTTGAACCCAGGAGGCAGAGGCTGCAGTGAGCTGAGATCGCGCCACTGCACTCCAGCCTGGCAACAGAGCAAGACTGGTCTCAAAAAAAAAGAAAAAAAAAAAAAAAAAGAAACAACAGATTAACTGTAAAGGACTGTCAATCACACTGTGTATTTTTCAACAGCAATAAAAGCCAGAAGATAATGAAATAAAATCTATAATGAACAAAGAAAAAACAACTGCTAATCTAGAATATATATTCAGGAAAACCAGTTTCAGGAATGAGACTAAGAAAAAGTTATTTTCCAACAAAAAGTTTTCCAACACACCCTCCCTAGGGAAAATTCTAAAAGATGTACTTCACACAAAGAAAAATGGTCCTAGATCAGAGGTCTCAGATGCAAATGAGAATAAGCAGACATCTGCAAATACAGTGTATAGGCAAATCAAAGTAACAGTGTTTAAAACAAAAGTATCTCATTTGTTGGAGGTCAGGGAGAACTAAAATAAAGCTACACAGAGTTTAACTTCCAAACTTCAAGACAGAGGGAAATGTTAAAAAAAAAAAAAAGACATTCATATAAAATTAAAACAAAAAGCAAGGTAATGATTAATATAAAATTCAGATGGCGGTTACTTAAAGAGTATGTCAGAGATCACAAGTAGTGAGAAACATGAACGGCCATCAAAGGTGCTGGCAGTGTTCTGTTTTTTAAAGTGGTTGGTCATACATGGTAGTTCATTATATAATTCTTTACACACACACACACACACACACACACACACACACACACATAATGATGTATGTCTTTGTAAGAATAAAAGTAAATTCTGAAAATCAATATAGAAGAAAAAAATTCAAAAATCTATGGCTCCTCCCCAAAAATTTAGAATACTTCACAAACACTGGTCTTCAAAATTCAAAGAAAAAGATGAATTATTTCATTCAACAAATACTTACTGAGTGCCTAATCTGCCTACATGTGAGGTGAGAGGTGTCATGAAGATGTGTGATCTCTCTTCTCTCTCGTCTTCCTAACCTTATAGAGCTGCACTAATACAGTAGCCACCAGCCCCATGTGGGTATTCATATTTAAATTAATTAAAATTAAATTCAATTAAAAATTTAGTTCTCCTATAACACTAGATATATTTTAAGTGCTCAGAAGCTATATAGGGGCCACCATATTGAACAGCATAGACATAGAACATTTCCATCATTTCAGAAAGCTCTTAGTACTACCATATTTTATTATGATAGAAATACATTGATAATTTTAAAATCTTAAATAGAAAAAAAAATTTTAACGGATTAAATCCCCCTTAAAAGTCATTTTATTTCTATGAAACTACAGCTTCTTAGTAGTATTTAAAACAGCTTGCTATTTATTAAAAATACATAGGAAGTATCAGAAATTGTTTACCATCTCCTATGTTCCAACAAAAACCATCAGACACAGGGTTTAAAAATAAATAAACAGCCGGGCGCGGTGGCTCACACCTGTAATTCCAGCACTTTGGGAGGCCGAGGTGGGCGGATCACAAGGTCAGGAGATTGAGACCATCCTGGCTAACATGGTGAAACCCCGTCTCTACTAAAAAATACAAAAAATTAGCCGGGCGTGGTGGTGGGCGCCTGTAGTCCCAGCTATTCGGGAGGCTGAGGCAGGAGAATGGCGTGAACCCAGAAGGCGGAGCTTGCAGTGAGCCAGGATCATGCCACTGCACTCCAGCCTGGGCAACAGAGCGAGACTCTGTCTCAAAAAATAAATAAATAAATAAATAAATAAATAAATAAATAAATAAATAAGCTACTATTAAATATTTAAGCACAGTACTACTAACCAGTGATAAAGCCATGTCATAGGGATATAAAAAGCCGCAGGATGAACACTGCACTCTCTCTTAGGAGCATCAATTTTAGTTAAGAGTATTTTAGGCCGGGCGCGGTGGCTCACGCCTGTAATCCCAGCACTTTGGGAGGCCGAGGCAGGCAGATCACGAGGTCAGGAGATTGAGACCATCTTGGCTAACACGGTGAAACCCCGTTTCTACTAAAAATACAAAAAATTAGCCAGGCGTGTTGGCGGGCGCCTGTAGTCCCAGCTACTGGTGAGGCTGAGGCAGGAGAATGGCGTGAACCCAGGAGAGGCGGAGCTTGCAGTGAGCTGAGATCGCGCCACTGCACTCCAACCTGGGGGACACAGCGAGACTCCGTCTCAAACCAAAAAAAAAAAAAAAAAAAAAGTATTTTAAAATACTGTCGACATGCATGTAAGATAGCAAAATGCAACATTTATATAAATTTTAAAATATAAAACCCTACAGGCATCAAAAACTTCAATTTATAGCAGGCACACTTTGGGCTGCATTCCTAGACTTCTGAGGGTACTATTCATCCACATTTCTGCCATTGGGAGTACTTTAAGAGAAAAATTTAAGCACTGTTAAAATAAATGAATTAAACATTTTTTATTTACCAGCAACAATGATACACAACATAACTCTATAAACCCATATCATTTTAATATCTAAAGCAGCAAACCCACAGTTTTCTTTAAAATTAACAGAGGGTCCAAGCTATTTCTACTTAACCTGAACATTTTGCCTTGGACATTCTAATAGAATTTAAATATTTCTATAGCATTCCCAACTTTTAAAATTACGCAACCAAAAACACTCAAAAGAAACAAATGTTAAGCCTTAATTTAACAGTCACCTAGGCTAGGTTTGCACCTTAAGTTCCCCACCCCCACACCCCCCCCCGTCCCTCCCCCACAGCCGCCTGCCCACCCAAGTGAACCAGGGAGTCAATAAGCTCCTCATCTAGACAACTGATGCAATTTCAATAAGCACTTATGTTCATAATTGGTTTGTGTCCCCAGGAGGACTTCTGTGACTCCACTTACATAACCCATTACGCACAGTGCTGCACTATTCTTTCTCTAGAAAGCATTTTGAATACTGATATTTGTACAAGGTTTACTTGCTGTATTAATAAAAAGGCTTTTCTTGCTCTATCTTTCCTGCAGAAGAAGTGAAATGGAAAGCCAATTTCTGCTGCTTCACTATGTCAAAGGCGAGTTATTTATCTTGTTGGCTAATCAACAGAGTAATAACTTAAAGCAGCACCCCCAGGCAGCGCCCACAGTTCAACAGTTTTCTCCAGAGGCTCTGGTTGAGAAACACAGTCTTAAACAAGTAATTTAGAGCTACTTGTGTGAACTCAACTGAAAACAGTCTGAACTGCTCCTTGAAATATGTTATAAGTATTGACTGTGAATCTTGACAAAATTAAATTCAATGGTGGCGAGAATCACAATACGTCCTCTGTAGGCTAACACAAGGGCAGAATGTACCCCAAACCTTCTTTAATATGCATAAATATGTGGATGAATAGTCTCCTCCAATCCCTCAGATTCTGTTTAAGCCAAGATTTTCGGATTTCACAGAACCATAATCTTTAAAAAGGGGCACGAGGAAGGAGAGGGTGACCAGCATAGGGCTGCCAACTTTTATTCTGCCAAGGACATTTAAAAAACAAAAACAAAAACTACCGATTACCCATCACCACTATTTCATAAAAGAACTAAGCGCCCATCGAAAATGGCAAAAGATAATTTTAGAAAAACATATCAATAGATTTAGCTTTAAAGAAGCCAACTACATTCTCCTTTCACTCAAAGGAAAACTCTGTCATGAACTGACACTACTCCACAGTCCAGCACTTCGGGAGCCACAAGCTTAAGTGGCTAGCTCCCACTGAGAAAAGGAAAGTGATGATACGTAATGCCCAAACCAAATATTAACCTATTCAATAATGAGGAAATGTAAGCTTAGAGAAGTTTAGGGACTCTCCCAAGGTTGAATACCAAGGATTTTGACACGGGTCTATCTAATTCTAGAGTCAGAGGTCCCAGCCATTATCCTAAGTTTCCTCTAATATTCTTCCAGTGGTATAACAATCCACCCTCATCTAGTCACCTTTGTGACCAATGACAACCAAGGAATTTCCAAGACAGCTGGAGGGAGTGAGGGGTGTACTCCCTGGCCATCATTTAGACTGAAGCTAAATGGAACTCCTGACCTTTGCCTCATTAATACCAGGCTTACTGAAACTAAGCCAAACAGCCCAGACAAAGCACACACAAAACCCCCTGCCTCCAACAACACTGACACAGGACTCTTTCGACATTCCCAAGTGCCTGTGATATAGTGGAAAACATATTCCTGAAAAACAAAAGGAATGTATTAATTCTCAAGAAGGAAATAAACACTTCCATGGTAACTCAGTCTAAAAATAATAAACTTGCCCTCAAAAAGTTACAACTCTAAGCCTCATTCTGCAAACTATTATAATCTTTTACACATTAATACTCAAGTTCCCCCTATTTAAATACCTAAACAGAAAACCACACAAAATTCTATAAATTTACAGTTCTTAAACAGTTTCCAAAATAAAATATGTAACTTTCATATGTGTTATCATATAATGGATAAAAGTATCTTATTCTATCCCTCTAATATAATCCAAACATTATAAGCCAAAACTAATCATGTTAATCAAAAGAACTTATAAAATAGAGTTGGAAGAAAAATATGTAATCAAATGCCATTTTCTATAAAAAGCAATATTAACAGCCTTAATGAGATGTAAATATTATCTTTGAATATTCAGAGGTTCTTGATTTTGAAACCAAAATCGATGTCATACACATAAATAAGTGAAATACTGTATCAGAGATTTGCTTCCAACTCCTCACATACCACTTGCCAAACAAATGTCCAAAAGAAACAAGCTAACATAGCTTTTAAGTAACCAAATCTGACACTCTGGATGAAATGAGTCTGAAGTAGTTTGTCCTCCCTGAAACAGGGTAAAGATAGCATAGTATTCTTGCTACCCAGGGCAAGAAAACTGTATTTCCCAATTGGATTTTTAATGATCAGATTCTTTCTACTCCGTGTGAACCTACAGTGTGAAGAAGCAGTGGACATACTATCAAATTCTTTACCCACTGCATAAAATAAATCACTTAGCATATTTCCTTCTGTTTTAAACAGATGCCATTTAAAACAGAAGTTTTTTTTTTCTTTCCCCTCTACATTCTCCCTTGGCACTTTCATCTTCTTACACAGATTCAACCAGTACACCTATTTGTATTATTCACTAAACCCATGTTTAATATATGCCTAGTCCTGACCTCTCCCCTTAACCACAAATCCACATTTCCAAAAGCCTTTGGACATTTCCAGCGTTTGGCAAGTATACAAAAAAGTCAACAAATCCAAAACTGATCTCATTACGTACCTCCTTGCCCGTATTTCTAGTAAGAGTACCACCGTCAACATCTCCGACACTTAAAAAGTGTAATCTTCAGCTGGGCGCAGTGGCTCACACCTGTAATCCCAGCACTTTGGGAGGCTGAGGCAGGCGGATCACGAGGTCAAGAGATCGAGACCATCCTGGTCAACATGGTGAAACCCCGTCTCTACTAAAAATACAAAAGTTAGCTGGGCGTGGTGGTGAGCACCTGTAGTCCCAGCTATTCGGGAAGATGAAGCAGGACAATCACTTGAACCCAGGAGGCGGAGGTTGCAGTGAGCCAAGATCACGCCACCGCACTCCAGCCTGGCAACAAAGCTAGACTCTGTCTCAAAAACAAAAGTGTAATCTTCACCTTCCATCTCCTCCAAACCTGCTCCAAAAACCCCTCCTCCTCGCCACCCACCTACGACATTGAGGTCCTGCAGAGCCTTCACTCTAATTCCATTACCACTGCCCTTGCCCAGTATTTATACTACATTGAAAGTCAGCTTTCCACATCAAATCATTCTGCACACTACTCTATTAGACCTTGGTAACTTCTCATTACCTCCCAAACGTCGAACTTTTTTTCCCCAAATGTCAAACTTCTAAAAGCAGCACTTAAACATGCTCCACAATCCTGCCCCCACTTAAAATTCAAACCTCATCTCTAATTCCCAAAAATGAACAGTATATTCCAGGTAATCTGGTCCACTAACTTTTCTCCAAGTACACAATGAACTTTCCCACCTCCACACTTCTGCTCACATCATTCTCTTTATTTGAAAGGCCTTCTTCACCCACCTACTCCCAATCCATAAATCTTTGTCTTAGAAAAGTCTTATTCTCTGTAACATTAAACTCAGGTTACCAGTTTATTGGGGAGCAACATGATGCAGTAGAAACACACAGGCTTTGGCACCAGACAGATTTGGATTCAAATTGGGGCTGTTACATGCTAGCCACATAGCCCAGGCAAGTAACTTAACATATTTGAGCCTCACTGTCCTCATTATTAAGGTACTTACATATTGCTGTGAAGCTAAGAAAATGCTGTAAACAGCAACTAGCATTAAGTCTGTTCAGTAAATGCTCAATAAACAGTAGCTTCTGAGCTATCTCCACAAATTTCCATTACTTAAGCTAAAAATGAACCCTTTCTTCTTTTGTATAATTTACTCCAAACTTTACCTCAAACCACCCATAAGTATTTACAAATGTTTATGTTGTAAATGTTTACACAAATCTTATATCCCCTTCTAGATTTCAAATTCCTAAAAACCAAAAGTTTAATCTTTATATCCTAAAATGCCTAGTATAGCGCTTTTCATGAAGCACTCAACACCCATCGCCAATGTTAAGTCCCAATTACAAAAAAAATTGTTAGTATGCCTAAAGAATACAACTCAACTCTTCATGATTTCAGAAATTATTACCAAAACATGAAACTCAACTGTTATGGCTATACCTTTATTTGCTCCTTACATAGTTACCTAACATAGCATAGCAAATAGCATGCTATGCATAACATAGCATAACATGCATAGCAAATGCTCAGTGTTTGTTGAATTGACTTGTATAATATAAAAATACAATCAGTATCTGATTTTCCCCAATCACCTTTCTCTGCTCTTAAAACTCTTGAAGTATTTCCCTTAAAAATACATTGTCATACCTGCAAATCTGTAACTACATCTAACTTAACTATTTTTCCAGATTCTCTCAATTCCAATATTCCAATCTTATGCTCTAAATAATTAAGTACTTCACATGTGGAAGAAGCTACAGTTTCTATCTAAATTTAAAAGTTGTGCAAATATGCTGGGGATGGTGGCTCACAACTGTAATCCCAGCACTTTGGAAGGCCGAGATGGGAGGATCACTTGAGCCCAGGAGTTCAAGACCAGCCTGGGCAACATAGTGAAACCTCGGCTCTACAAAAAAAAAAAAAAAAAAAATTAGCCAGGTGTGGTGGTTGGTGCCTATAGTCCTAGCCACTCAGGAGTCTGAGACAGAAGGACTGCTTGAGTCCAGGAGTTGGAGGCTGCAGTGAGCTATGATGGGGCCACTGTGCTGCAGCCTGGGCAGCAGAATGAGGCTGTCTCGAAAAGAAAGAAAAAAGAAAAGAAAGGAAGAGGAAAAAGAAAAGTTGTGCAGCTAATCTCTCCACAATTTTTTCCAAGGACTTTAAAAATCATCTACCCTTTGCCTGTTCAAAATCAACAACCTTGAAATAAATTTTCCTTTGCATAGGAAAAGCTCACTGAACTTGTCACTTCAGTCTATTTTTCCTGATTCATGATACCACCTCCCCTTTCAGGGGTGGGAGGAAAGAGAATGACATAAGTACCCAAAAAACTACAGAATAAACCCTAATCTACACACAAGATGAGAGTTGCAGATAGCGTCACTGGTTTCAAGAAGGTGATTTGTGAATACTTTACGCTGCAAAAACAGTGGCCATCTGCTAATAGCAATAATCTGCAGTAACTGCATTCCCTTATAAAAAGTTTTTAAATCACCATTTATTGTGGAAAACCCATATTTCCTACAAACCTTTCAGCAGTAAAGTTTACTACCTAAAATCTGTTCACTAAACCTACCTACATCACTTTCTCCCCTAGGAAATCCTCAGTTTATCCGAAGTAAACACTTCATGGAATAAGTTTAAACAAAACATCTCTGCCCACCTGTGTGAAACTCTGCATTGCAGCAACAATTTTAACAGTGTAAGGAATCTCTCAAGAAAATCCAAGAACAATTTTTCCTTAAGAAAAATGACAGTTCCAAATATGAAGGTAAACAAACTTTGGGAGAAAGGATATAACTGTCCAACTCTTTAAAATCAATTCGTACAGCCTCTGAATGAACTCATCATACAACTGTGACATCAGATAGCCAAAAGAATTAAGAGTGTAGATTAGAGAAAAGCATCTTTTTTTTTTTAGTATGTCTGCAAAAAAAGGCGGGGGAGGGGGTGTCTAAACTACTGATTTTCCTTAAGCAAGTTTTTTCTTTAAGTTTACTTCAACAACAGCTTCAGCAAGCTTTCAAGTGAGTAAAGATGATACAGAGCATGCTGGTGCCACAGCGACCTACGTATCCAGGACCGGTTCCGAGCCCAGTCCAAATCGATCCCGGACAACCCTGAAGCAAATCTGGATGAAAAGCCCTGCAAAAGATCCCTGGCATGTACAGGCAGCGCCCCACCCTGGAGGGAAAAGACGACACCCCTGGGACCCGGGTTAATTACTGACCCCAGGACAGACCCAGAGGAGGCGAAAAGTCGGGAACTGGAGCCCAAGATTGAGTCTGGTGTCCAGCTACTACCCCAGGCCGGACACAGAATACCAAACTAGGGAGCGGCGAGGTTTGGGGCAGCACACATGAGGGGGGTCGGACGGACGAACAGAGGCCCAGCCCATCCCCACTCTCGAGTCCCAACAGCAACAACAGCTCTGGGAACCCCCTCCCTGGCTCCGCCCCGCCCACCCCATGGACCCACAGCCAGCTCTTCCCGTCCCGCTGGCCCGGAGAAGTCCGCGGCGGTCGACAATCCCCTTCCCCGGACGCCGGCAGCCGAGCCCTCAGCCCGGATCCCGAAGCGGGCAGCGGGGGCACGAGAACGCCAGCTCCGACGCGGGCCCGCGGCCGTCCCAGTCCGTTTCCCTAGCCACTCACCGTCCGCCCAGGTGCTGAGAGGGAGCAGGGCGCGGGTCGGCGGGCGCGAACCCCCAGACTCCGACCCGCGCTGGAGCCCCTACTTGGAGCAGATCGAGTCTCAGCCGCTGTGCCTACAAGGCCTCTCTCCGGCCCGAATCTTGGAAAAGCACTTCCGGGGGAGCGGGGGAGGGAAGGGTTTTGGCACCGGAACTGCTCTCAGCCCGGAGCTGCCAGGGCCTCCAGGGCGGGGCGGGGCCTCTCTCGCCGGGCGCCCACAGATCAGCCTCTGGGCTCCTAACTAACCCTTTCCGCCCCGCGCCTCCTCGATTCCCCGGCTACTGCTGCACCCTTTGCTTTAACTGCTGTTTGAGTTGTTTTACTCCAGCCAGCTAATTTTACAAATAAGGAAACCGAGGCTCGGAGAATTAGGTGCAAGAATCCAGTGCCTACACCCGGCCTCCCGACTCCCTTCAGTGTACTCTACGCTCCAATCTGCCTCCTTTAAAAAATAATGATAATAGTTAACATTTATTGAACGCTTACTACGTGGTAGGCACTGTATTAAGTCCCTTCGGGTGCATTAACTTATTTAATCATCCCCAAACTCCTTGGGGTTGGTGCTATTATCTACGTCTTGCAGGGGAGAAAAACGGTCAAAGATACCAAACCCAATCTCACAAATGTTGGTTGATTTTAATTCACGTGTGTATAAATCTCATCTACCTATACCAAGATTTTGAAATTATTTAAAAACAGGGCTCAAACTATATTCCTATATTCTGTCATCACTGGTGACTTCAACAGAGGCGAGAGCTGGGGTTGGGGGGTTGGGGGGGTTGGGGTGGGGATCTGGAATCTTTTTGCTTGTCTCCTTTTATTTACTTTTATTTTTTCACCCTGGCAAGTTATAAAATCATCTCTGCATTGTAGGAATCCAAAATGATAATGCATGATAAACATTTCAGAATGTCTGGCATTGGATAAAAGTTAACGATTCTTATACCTCATCAGCAATAGGCAATAGAAAAGATTAGTTAAGGAAATAAGAAAGAGTAGGGGTTGGCCGGGCGCGGTGGCTCACGCCTGTAATCCCAGCACTTTGGGAGGCCGAGGCGGGTGGATCATGAGGTCAGGAGATCGAGACCATCCTGGCTAACAAGGTGAAACCCCGTCTCTACTAAAAATACAAAAAATTAGCCGGGCGCGGTGGCGGGCGCCTGTAGTCCCAGCTACTCGGGAGGCTGAGGCAGGAGAATGGCGTGAACCCGGGAAGCGGAGCTTGCAGTGAGCCGAGATTGCGCCACTGCAGTCCGCAGTCCGGCCTGGGCGACAGAGCGAGACTCCGTCTCAAAAAAAAAAAAAAAAAAAAAAAGAAAGAGTAGGGGTTTTTACAACTGGAAAAATACAGGTGCTTGTGAAGCTCCATGCAGTGATAATATGAGGACCCACAGAGTTACATACCAGACAGGGAAAAGGGATGGAAAGGAGGAGGGCGTGGGATTCCTCAGCCACAAAATCAGAAAGGCACCAGATATCTGAGGCAGATTCTGTATCTGGGATGCAGGGAAAGAAAAAAAAGCCTCTTAGCAATGCATACTATCTGCAAAACAAATGTACTAACATCTCTTGAAACTGGGGGGGGGGGGGGTGGCGGGGAAGATTTTTAAATGTTTCTACTATGAAAGGCAGGGGAAAGGAAAAAAGTTGAAAACCCATTATTACAAATTTAAGATGCAAACAATGCCACTGCTCTTGGCTTTATTTACAGGGCTTTCTTACTTTATTTTTGTGATCGCAGAAGTGTTGGCAAATACTTCCGTAATACTCAAATTCAAGCAGCCTTTTGTGCCTCAGAGTGTGAAGAAGTAAAAAACAGCGTGGGTTGGCAGGACTCACCGACATCTCTTTTTACTCAAGGCCTAAAGGGATAGTGAGAGGAATCCTGAATCACAGATATTATCAGGCTCTGTGTGGGATGCAGAGGTGCTAGAGGTTAGTCATTTAATCTGGTCATCTAACTGGTAAATGGAGCCGCCTGGGTTTGAATTTGCAGACCATATTCTCAGATGCTTTTCACCACTATCCCAGTGGTTCTCAAATTTGAGAGTGCATCAGAACCACCTAAAGGGCTTGTTAAAACAGATTGCTGGGCCCCACCCCTAGAAGTCCCTGGACTAAGCCTCTCAACATCATCTGTGAACTTGTTACAGATGCACATTACTGGGTCCCGCCCCAGATCTTATGAATCAGAAGCTCTGGGGTGGGACCCAGCAATCTGTGTTTTAACAGGCCCTCCAGGAGATTCTGATATACTGTCAAGTTTAAGAACCACTGCATAAGATATTAAGAACTAATATCTTGTCTTCCACATATTCCTCTTTTTTTCTAATTTTTTCCAACAGGGATAACTCTTACCGGAGCAAAAGTTCTTGCCGTTGAATTAAATGACCTATTGAAGGATTTTTATTCATGTTTTGCTCTCAGTGAAAGAAGATGAGGCTAGAAAAAAAATTACTATAATGGAGGATTCATTTTGATTACTTTAAATTTGTACTGAAATGTAACCAGATAATACTGGGTTGGGGGTGGAACTAATATTATTTGGGAATTACTCTATGCCAAGGCTTTACACGCGTTTTCTAAATTAATCTTCACTACATTGCTATGAGGTTTTATGGTCTTAATTTTAGAGATGAGGATAACTGAGACTTAGGTGAAGTAATTGACTTAAGGCCACATTCTTGTTAAGGGGCAGAATCAGGATTGTGCAAAGATCCCTCTAATTCCAAAACTCATGTTCTTTCCACTTCGTGGCTGGAGCCTGGAGAACCAAATTCCACTGTGGGCTCCACTGCCCCAGCTATGCAACATTGATTAAGCGATTTAATCTCTATTTCGATTTCTCCATCTATAAATAATGTTATCATAAATCTGCCCCACCCACACTGGAATGTCAGAACAAATGAGGAAATGAAAGTGTAAGCACTTTCAGCTTTTTAAAGAAAAACAGTAAAAAGGCAAGTTATTAAGGCATTGTATGTTTAGGCAAGTGTTGCTGTGTGATTCTGGACGGTGAAGTCTTTCCCAATTATCTCCTGATTCATAAAGAAGAGTGCCAAAGAAAAAGTTGTTTGACTTCATTTACCAGTGTCTCCTGGAGGTAGAAGATGACAGAGGATTGTATGCATCTCTTGCAAAAATTACAAGCAATCTCTCACCAGGCTCATTCGGCTCCAGGTTGTTGCCAAATTGCTGGCCCATCCTCATCTTAGAGATGTCTTTTCTCCTAACCCTTTTCTTCTGTCCATTCCAGGCATCCCTCTACCCGCCTGCCTCTACCCACTAGGAAAGACTTAAAATTCCTTTTACTTTATTATGTAGAAGGATTTAACTCTCAATCCTCATCTCAGGCCAGACTCCAGGCCACCTTTATTGACACAATTACCATGTTGTGCAATTCCAGGGGGTGCTATTCACAAAGAATACAACATGAATGATGCTCAAGAGGTGACAAACACAAATGATGCCCCCTGGAACTGTGCAAGGCTGTGGCCCTGTCTATGCATAGCTCCTACCCCCAAAATCCATTAAGGTGTTTTGTTAAACAAAAGAGCCATCTACTTGGGTGTCCACCCTTTGCCAAGCTTTGAAATAATGGGGTTCTTTGATTTTGTTTGTTGGTTTAATGCAGATCTGATCCTAACCACACAGCTTAAGTTCTAACTTCCACACTCTACTGTGACACTTTTCACTCTTTTCTGTGACATTGTTGCCTATCTCCCCACTAGACTTGTGAGTTTCTGAAGACCTTTTTATATTTTGTCTTCCTCATCTTTTATTCATGCCTCAAAAACATTTGCTTTGAATAACAGCACAGTGTAACTAGTACATATGTATTAGTGTAAATATTTATGGCAAAGATTTGACAAATGTATTGTTTGATCCAGAGAGTTTTGTACCATGAAATAAATTGAGTCAAAATTTTAAAATTGAGAAATGTCATGTAAAAAAAAATCCCAATTTCTGGCATCCCTTGAAAATTTAAACACTCTGGCAGACATCTGGCATGCATCCACAAGGCATCAGTGACTTTAGCTAGATGCAGCATCTCTCTTCATCAAACAGTGCAATGAGTTGGCCTTACCCACATGTGGTATCTTTATGGTAGACAGAGTTTGGGACCACTGGTCCCAAAACATCATATGGATGTTTTAAAGAAACAAGTATAGAATTTTGCCTTATATATTTTACATGTGCTCATAACTATTCAATGTATTTTGAGGTAATTTTAAATTGTTTTTCTGGGATAGCAATTGTGGGGTACTACACTGTACTTTTTTTTTTTTTTTTTTGAGACAGAGTTTCATTCTGTCACCCAGCCTGGAGTGCAGTGGCACGATCTCAGCTCACCGCAACCTCCGCCTCTCAAGTTCAAGTGATTCTCCTGCCTCAGTCTCCCGAGTAGCTGGGATTACAGGTGCCCACTACCATGCCCGGTTAATTTTTGTATTTTTAGTAGAGACCGGGTTTCACCATGTTGGGCCAGGCTGGTCTAGAACTTCTGACTTCAGGTGATATGCCCGCCTCAGCCTCCCAAAGTGCTGGGATTACAGGTGTAAGCCACCATGCCTGGCCACGTTGTACCATTTCTAAACAAGCAAGGCAAGTGCAGACATCAAATTATAAATATCATTACCACCAACGTTTTAATGGAGTTGTAGCTAATGTTATTTGTCAACAGCCTTGGAAAGACAAAAAATGAATAATAGCAATTACTTAAATAGATTTGATGACAAACGACCCTATAGGGTATATATATATTTTTTTAATTTATTTTTTCCTGGATGGAGACACAAGCAAAGCTAGTTCAGGTAGCTAGCAAATGATGAGGTCAGGATTAGAATCCAAGCAGTCTGTCCCCAGAGACACACTCATAACCACTAAACTAATATTTATTGATCCTTTTCTATGTGCCATGGCCATGACTGCCTCCCAACTGAAAGAGACAACCAGATTTATAGAAGAATGTATAAATCTCTTCCAGGCCTTTTACAGGTCACTATAATAAACCCACATAGATCCTTTTCCCTCTCCCACCCCTCATATTGACATGTTTATAATCATTTTTGAAATGGACAAACTGCCACATGTCTAAAACTTCTTTTAATTCCCATATAGTTCTTGCATGAAGTTTGTTTCTGTTGAAAGTTATCATAACGAATCCTATGCACGTGGTTTCACAAACAACGGAAGAAATTTGAAGCCATATAATACTGACAGTGAAAACCAGTATCTCTAGTCAAATCCTGCTTGCGTGGAGAAATGGGAGATGTCAAGGTTGAATTTGAGCAAAAATGTCACATTGACACAAATGCAGAGAAAGTTCAAAAATAGAGAACTTAAAAGGGAATGCTCATCAACCTTTGGTATATTTTACATTTAATTTTTAACTAAATATCATGAAAAAGTACTGGAACTGGCACTTTTCTTTAAAAGGCTTAAATTAATTAAATTTCTGTTGTCCACATTGAATTACGTAGTATCAGGAATTTAAGAGGTTGCCTTCCACTCTTACTCCTTTTTTATCAAAACACTGCCCATCTTACCTTGCCTCAGCTTCTCTTTCTGCAAAATATGCATGATAAATGCATCTTTATATCTTAGAGATGTTGTGAGACATAGCTAATAAATGATTACACAGCATAGCTCTTTGAAGTATAAAGCACTGCATAATTACTAAATACTATAATAATCATCCTCATAATAATAGTAATTTTCAACCAGCACATCAACCAGACCCAGATGCCTTTAGTCACCTTCCAGTTAGACAAAAGTGTATATACCAACTATTAAATCAAATAAAAATCTTAAACCACAGACTGGCTCTACTCCCTTCCTCTTTCCTATGCAGAATCTGAAGTCAGACTGCCAGTGACACATCTCAGTTTCATCACTTGCTGGCTGTGCGACCCAGCTCATACAAGACAGCTAATCTCCAACCTCTATCTCTTCACTATAAAAATTACAATAATAATAATACCCACTTCACAGGATTTTTGTGAGAGTTCAACACATTAATACATGTAGAACTCTGAACTAGTGGCTGGCAGACTATAAGGGCTCAGTGAACATTAGCAGTGGTGATGACTTGCAGCAATATCTAAAAAAAAAAAATAATAGGCAGCAGTCTAGCCATGTTATTGGATAGTAAGTCAATCCATTCAACTTGGAGAATAATTGGTACTGCCCTCTAGGTTACCATGTTAATATTCATCAAATATAAGCTCTTTAATATTGAACTTTGATATCAAAAGGAAAGGTGAGACATTTCATTCTCATTTTCCCAGTCTGTTTAGTCTTTCTTTTTTTTTCTGGAGAGAGGTTCTTGCTCTGCCACCCAGGCTGATGCGCAGTGGTGCAGTCACTGCAGCCTTGATCATCTGAGCTCAAGCGATCCTCCCACCTCAGCCTCCTGAGTAGCTGGCACTACAGGCGTGCACCACCATGCCCAGCTAATTTTTATATTTTTTGTAGAGACACAGTTTTGCCATGTTGCCCAGGCTGGTCCTAGGCTCAAGTGATCTGCCCTGCTTAACCTCCCAAAGTGTTGGGACTACAGGCATGGGCCACTGTGCCCAGCTATTTTTATTCCTTATAATCATTGTGCATGTAATAAATGGCTACATTTTTATTATAGATTATTAGGAAAAAATTGGGTAAAATTTAAAAGTACCTCTTCATCACTAATACTCCCCATGCCCCAGCCCATTCTTCTCTGCAGATGTAACCACTATAAATGATTCGGTGTGTTGCTTTCCAGGCATTTATCAGTGCATTTATATTCATATAAAGAAAACCCAATGGAAACATGAAAGTATGTGCTTAAAGCACCCAAAAGATGAAATTTCACAATGATGCCTGGGCTGATCTCGAACTGCTGGGCTCAAGCAATCCTCCTGCCTCAGCCTCCCTAGTAGCTGGAATTACAGGCATGTGCCACTGTGCCTGGCCCCACCAAAAAAAAAAAATTAAAGAATTTTGTGTTTTTCAATCATTATTAAGTAATTTACAAAATAGAAGGAGGAAAATGTGGTTAAAATTTCAATGAGATATGAAAAAAAATTACCAAAGTGAAATTCTTAGAGAAACTTTTGATAATAAAGATCTTATACACGTGTCAAAAAAAAAAGAAATTTGTGTTTTTACAAATGCATAGATATAAAAAAAAATCAGAGCTTGTTAGGACTTCCTTATACTAATTTAATTTTAACATGGTTTAAATTCTTAAATTAAACAGTAAAATAATATTTACTATGGACCATAAGCTCTTTAGTGCTTACGATTTTTCTTTTTTCTTTTTTTCTTTTTTTTTTTTTTTTTGAGACGAAGTCTCGCTCTTGTCCCCCAGGCTGGAGTGCAATGGTGCAATCTTGGTTCACTGCAACCTCCGCCTCCCAGGTTCAAGCGATTCTCCTGCCTCAGCCTCCCAAGTAGCTGGGATTACAGGTGCCTGCCACCATGCCCAGCTAACTTTTTTTTTTTTTGTATTTTTAGTAGAGACGGCGTTTCACCATGTTGGCCAGGCTTGTCTCAAACTCCTGACCTCAGGTGATCCGCCTGCCTTGGCCTCCCAAAGTGCTGGGATTACAGGCATGAGCCACCGCGCCTGGCCACGATCTGTCTTAAGATCTTAATCCAAGCTTGCTTTATATGTATGTATGCACCAATATTTTTAAATACATAAATGTAATCATATTGTTTTGCAAATGACTTTATTTGAGTGAGTGATTTTACACATCATAATATTTCTTAGTGGCAATCTAAATAAGGAACTTAAACCGTATCTGCCATTTTGCTCCCCTAAAAACTATTCTTGTCTAAGGGTCCTGTTAGAACAACTTGAGTTTCAAAAGCTTCCATTTTTGCTAAAGCAAATTTCATTTTCCATCACATTTCCAAGCCCCTGTAATACAATCCTTTTTTAATCTCTACAGAGTGTAAGAGGGAGAGAAATCCTACTGACCAGGAGCCTTCTAAATGGTGACTATGGAGAGATGCCAAGGAAATTGAATGGTGCCAAATGCAAAATCCTCAAGTTGCTCTCTAAACCAAAGAAATTCACTGGGAGCCGGATTTCACTGAGGCAGGAAGTATTTCACCTACAAAGATAGAGCACATGTGGAGATTATATTTGGGACCAGGGAATAAAGAAGAAAAGGAAAGCTACATTGTATTTCAGTTGTATTTCAGGAGACAGTAAAAAGAGAACGTTCCCTGAAGCAAAAATAACCAATGACCTTTGGTGCAGGAAAAATATTTAAGCAATAGTTTATAATTAAGTTTATTTAAATTTTTCCCTTATAGGAAATTAACTGCTGAAAATCTGTTACTCCTTCAGCAAGTTCAATGCACATAGAACGCATAGAGAAAGAGAGATCCAGAATTATTTCAAATTTCAAAAATTATATTTATTTGAAATAACCCTGGATCTAAACTACTACAAATGTTTATTGCATACTCAATATGCATAGGAGGTCAGGGGAATACCAAGAACTCCAAGTTACAGAACAAGTCTTCTAAGTGCTTAAAAGTGCCAGTTAGGGAGATAAGTTATGGGCTCATAGAAAAAGAACCGTAATAATGCTAAGGATCCTGTGGTAAATGCTAAATGAATAACAGAGTCATTCATTTTTGGAGACCTCGTCCCTCACTCATGGTCTTCAGGTAAGAGATAGAACTTAAATCATGTCTTAAAGGATTTTGGAAATTATAGGAAAATAAGGGACATGAAAAGGATCCTAGCATTAAAAAAAAAGTACAGATGCAGCAAAGTACCAAGCACATCTAGCAGACCTTGAGCAGATCCTTTTAACTGCAACAAAGGGTTTGTGCCAACTAGGAGAAAACTTTGAGTAAGTAGGTTGGGCCTCTGCTCTGAAGGGCCTTCACTACTAAATTAAGATATTTGGACATTATCTTTTTAGGCAGTAAAGAATCAAAGCTGGTTTCCCGTGAAGCAACATGATTAAAGTATGCTTTCTAAAAATCTTTCTTTTTTTATGAAGAAAATTTGCAAAACACAGAAAACCACCAAAAATAGAATAAAAATTGGCGTGCACCTATAATCCCAGCTACTCAGAGACTGAAGCAGGAGAATCTCTTGAAACTGGGACATAGAGGTTGCAGTGAGCCGAGATCGCACCACTGCGCTCCAGCCTGGGTGACAGAGTGAGATTTTGTCTCAATAAATACATACATACATACATACATACATACATACATACATAATAGTAAAATAAAAAATGAAAATAAAAATTACTTGGAAATCCATCATCCATAAATATGTTAAACTTTGATGGCTAAATGTACAGCATTTTATTTCTGGTCATATATTTATGTGTGTGCACGTGTGTGTGTGTGTGTGTGTGTAGACTGGGATTATGTTTTTTTAATTCAACATTATGTTGTGGGTTTTTCAACATGATTTTTAATAAACTGCATTGTATTTCATTATATAAATGCAATATGTGTCCAATTTTTCCATTTTTCATGCAGGCATAAATAACTAAGATTAATCCAAGGTTAGCATAAGCAGTATTTACAAAGGATTGGAGTAAGGATAAACTGAGAGCAGGAAGACCAGTTAAGAAGCTACTGGTAGAGAACTGCTTGAATAAAGGGCATGTTCACACACTGGAATAGTTTATAACTATTATATTACATTATAATTATTATTTCAAAGAATGATACTGCTCCCAGTGTAGTATTACGCAGTGATCTCCAAGGTAGATTTTCTGGGTTTCTCCTCTTCTCCCCAGTCTCTTAAATTTGTAGTGCTCCAGAACTCCATCCTTTCTCTTCTCCTTCATCTACATTTCCTCCCTTGGTAATCTCATCCAGTCCCAAGGATTTAAATACTGTCTATATGTTAACCACTTGATGGCCTGTGGAAAGAAAAAGTATTCTATATACAGAGATGGATACACATTTCCTGAGAAAGCATTCAAAACTGTAAGTTGGAAATGCCTGCTCCACCAATGCCATCCAATAGGACAAATTACAAATACAAAACACTAGTGTACTGCCCTCAGAGGGGTTCTTGTAAGTGAGGAGGCTTGAAGCTGAGTATATGCTACAGCTCAAGTCAAGGCCTAGAGGCAGGAGCAGAATGATGTGATGAAGGAATCAGGAAGGGTGCACCGCCACTGCAAAGTCCGGCGATGGGATGGGTAGGGAAAAAAAATCACCTTGGGCAATTTGCTCTTTAACTTCTACTCATTCAGATGTTTGTAGACTAATAACCTGGAAGCATCGTTTGATTCAGGTTTCTAATAAATGGCATGTAAGCCATTGTGACAAGGAGTGGAGGGAGAAAGACTCTGTTGACCAGTGAATAAAATAATGATCCTGAGATAGAAAGCAAATATACATGATTCTTCATTTTCAATACCTTCTCCATGTCAAAGTTTTTTTCATTGTTTCTTTTATGAGCTCTGCTTTTCATCACGTAACCCCTTCAACTAAAATTTTCAAAGAATTCTTTCTTTCCATCTTGAAAAGGCCTACCTACTTTTATACAATTGCACTTTGCCTTCTTTTTTGTGTAATTGGGTACAAACATGTAAAAATATTTATACTCCTTTCTAATCTATAGAAAACCATTTTGGGGGTCTTGAAAACAGACTCTTTACAGATGGAGAGAATGAGAGAAATGTCCTCAGTGTGCTGGCTAAAAACTGCAATGTCTGCCCAGCACTGTGCCTCCTCTCATAACAGGGGATGCTCTGCTGAATGAGCCCTTGTATGTCAAGATTCAAAAAGTTCTTGTTTGCTCCAGTTGAACAAAGCTCTCACAGACAGTGGGATCTGCAGGGTAGCCACCAAGTGTGTTAAACCAATGCTCCCTCCACCACACTGCTGAATAGTTTATCGTAATGGCAGTTCTCACCTTCATGTATAGAGGCCGGTGTTCATGTTGCCGTCCTGCACAGAGTTCCCACTGACTTCAAAGGAAATGACATAGAACAGAACCCTGTGGTGTAAGGAGAAACAAGCAGCATCTGATCAGAATCAGGCCACTTTTTTTTTCATTCCCTCTGTATAAATGGCTAAATTTATATACGGAATATCTAAAGGCCACCTTTCACTTCAGCAGTTTATGAATTGTCAGGTATACATACACTTATTGGGAAGTTCAACACTGGACTGCTTTTTATGTAGGAGGGAAAGGGAGGGGAGTGTGTGTTAGAAAAATCCACCTCAATCCCACGTATTGCTTGGTCTGTAAGACCCCCAAGAGACCAAAGTGATCTGGGGCTAGTTTAGGGGTTCTGTTTTACTTATAGCTGGCCTTGAGGCACATGCTAAAGAAAAAGAAGGAGGAGGAGAAAAAGAGGAGAGGAAAAAAAGAGAAAAAAGAAAGCGTAAGTGTATGTTTATTAAGTCTCTGGATAGGGGAAGTCATTCTAAGCTTAAAAACAAGAAGGGGATAAATCAAAATGAAATAGGTTAAAATGGCAAATGAAAAGCTGCGTCAATTGTGACAGGCAAAAGATTAATATTCCTAATATATTCAAATTATCCACAAATTGGCTAAAAATGTAATAAAATAAATTCTAGATGGATAAAATGTTAAAATTTAAATTTTCTAAAAATGTTTAGCTAAAGTAATGCATAGGTGAATATCTGACCTCTGGATAGGAAAGGGAGTTCGAAGCTTAAACATAGTATAAGAAATCACAGTGGCCAGGCACGAAGGCTCATGCCTGTAATCCCAGCACTTTGGGAGGCTGAGGCGGGCAGATCACAAGGTCAAGAGATCGAAACCATCCTGGCCAACATGGTGAAACCCCGTCTCTACTAAAAAGACAAAAATTAGCTGGGCGTAGTGGCAGGCGCCTGTAATCCCAGCTACTTGGGAGGCTGAGGCAAGAGAATCGCTTGAACCTGGGAGGCAGAGGTTGCAGTCAGCTGAGATCATGCCATTGCATTCCAGCCTGGGCAAAAAGAGAGAAACTCTGTCTCAAAAGAAAAAAAAATAAATAAATCATGAAGAAAAAGATCAACACATTTGACTATATGAAAAATCAAAATTCTGTAAATTAAAAAAAATAAAAATTAAAACAGTCAACTTGGAAAATATTTGCAACAGTTATCCTGAATTTATAAAGAACTCAAGGCTGGGCTTGGTGGCTCATGCCTTTAATCCTAGCACTTTGGGAGGCTGAGGCAGGCAGATTGCTTGAGCTCAGGAGTTTGAGACTAGCCTGGACAACATGATGAAAACCCATCTGTAAACAAAAATTTAAAAATTAACCGGATGTGGTGGTCCATGCCTGTAGGCTCAGCTACTTGTGAGGCTAAGATGGGAGGATCACTTGAGCTCAGGAGGTGGAGGCTGCAATGAGCCGAGATCATACCACTGCACTCCAGCCCAGGTGATAGAGCAAGACCCTTTCTCAAAAAAAAATAATAATAATAAAAATAAAGAACTCAAGAAAGTTGATTTTTTTAAAAAAGTAATAAAAGATTTCTATAGAATAAAAGGCAAAGGATTCAGAAAGTTCATGGAAAAATTAAAATGGCTAATAAACACTTGAAAATGTTCAATATTACTAATAACCAATGAGTAATGAAATACAAACTTTTTTCACTTCAAATAGGCAAATATGAAAAAATGAAACTATACATTGTAGTCTTTTCAAATACAAGCAATGAACAGAAAATATAGTGAAAAAGAAATGCTTATTCAAAATAGCAACAAAACAAATAAAATGCCAAATAATATACTTAATGTGCAGAACCTAAATAAGGAAAGTGAGCTTTCCTCCCTTTCTCGCCGGAAGGCAGCCTCATGGGAGCCAGGCCTGCGTAGGAAGAGTGTTCTAGCAAGGTAGCAGCCTAAAGGTGTCAGGAAATTGGCAACATGCAGGGAGATTAAGCAAATTAGCAGAATATTAAGGATAATGACAGTCAAGTTGCTCACTGTCAGAGAAAAGAGGTGTAAACATGGAAGGGGAAAGCTAGACTAAGCCCTGTGGCAATGGATTAGAATTGAACCTATCAGTGTGAACTTATGGTTTTCAATATATAAAGACAGATATAAAGAATAAACATAGGGCTGGGCACGGTGGCTCACACCTGTAATCTCAGCACTTTGGGAGGCCCAGGCAGGTGGAACACTTGAGGTCAGGAGTTCAAGACCAGCCTGGCCAACATGGTGAAACCCCATCTCTACTAAAAATACAAAAATTAGCAGGACATGGTGGCACACTCCTGTAATCCCAGCTACTCAGGAGGCTGAGGCAGACGAATCACTTGAACCGGGAGGCAGAGGTTGCAGTGAGCTGAGATCAAGCCATTGCACTCCAGCCTGGGCAAAGAAGCAAGACTCCGTCCCAAAAATAAATAAATTAATTAATTAACATAGATGTAAATGCATGTATGCATATATGTATATAAATGCATATGTGAAAATACCTATATATGTACATATGTATATGCATACATGTATTTCCCTAGCTCAGTTAGTGAGGCAGCCTCAGAGAAGCAATGCCATAGTAACGATGAGCACTCCCAGTGCCTTGATCTTGGTTTCTGAATATCGTTCTATCTTCTCCACATTTACTCTGTTCTTTAGGGATCTCATACACTTTCTAATGCTTCATGCTGATGACATCTACATGTATATGTCAAGACTAGACCTTTCATCTAAGCCCCAGATTACTATATTCAAACTGCTTATCTGACATCTCTATTTTGTTCTGTCACACACATTTCAAATTTAGCATAGTCAAAATAGAATATTTGATTTCCCTGTGCCCTTCCAATCTATTTCCCCCATTATTTGTATCTTATAAATGGCAACGTTATTCACTCAGTTACTGAAGTCAGAAGTCTGGGAGTTAAAATCCTTTCCCTTTCCCTTATCCTTCATTGTCAGTTCACTTGCCAGTCCAAATGGGGTTCTACCTCCCAAATGCATCTTGAATTCATTCACTTTTCCCCATCTTCACTTGGGACTGTGCCAGTTTAAATTACTGCTCTTCCTCTCCTGATTTACTGTGATGGCTTTTGACTGGTCCCTCCACTTCTATGGAAACTTCCTTACATTCCATTATCAACATAACCAGAGTAAACTCCTGAAATGTAATTAGAGCATGCCATTCTCCTCTTTAAAACACTTCCATGTTTTTCCAGCCTTTTAGAACAAATCCAAGTGCCTGGCTATGGCTAGAAAGACCCCTGCATGATTGGAACACTTGCCTGAAGTCTCCAACTTCACACCATGCATCTTATGTCATCAGTCACAACTCTGCAGTCAAAGTGTCCTGTGCAGGCTGAGCATGGTGGCTCATGCTTGTAATTCCAGCACTTTGGGAGGCCGAGATGGGTGGATCACTTGAGGCCAGGAGTTTGAAACTAGCCTGGCCAACATGGTGAAACGCCATCTCTACTAAAAATACAAAAAAATTAGTCAGGTATGGTGGTGCACACCTGGTCCCAGCTACTCAGGAGGCAGGAGAATCACTTGAACCTTGGAGGGAGAGGTTGCAGTGAGCCGAGATTGCACCACTTCACTCCAACCTGGGCAACAGAGCGAGACTCTGTCTCAAAAAAGTGTCCTCTGCAATTGATGCTCCTAGAACATACCAACTTCTTTCCTCTTTCAGGATTTTTGCGCTTGCTCTTGTTTCTGTTTGTAATGCTCTTCTTTCAGCTTTTCACATGGTTGGCCCCTTCTCTTTCTTTAGTTTTTAACTTCAATGTCAATTTCTCACCGGGTGCTGTGGCTCATGCCTGTAATCCTAGGACTTTGGGAGGCCAAGGAGGGTGGGTCACCTGAGGTCAGAAGTTTGAGACCAGCCTGACCAACATGGTGAAACCCCATCTCTACTAAAAATACAAAATTAGCCGGGTGTGGTGGGGTATGCCGGTAATCCCAACTACTCAGGAGGCTGAGGTAGGAGAATCGCTTGAACCCAGGAGGTGGAGGTTGCAGTGAGCCGAAATCGCACCATTGCACTCCAGCCTGGGCAATAAGAGTGAAACTTCATCTCAAAAAACAAAAACAAAAATGTCAATTTCTCAAGGCAGAAATTCTTGGTCATCTTATCTAAGTAGGACCCTCTATTATTCCCTTTCACAGCCAACTGTTTATATTCTTCCCAATACAAGCTGTAATTATTTTATTTATTTGGTTGTGTGTGTCTTTCACTAGAGTATAAGTTGTGCGAGGGAGGTGATCTTGTCTTTCTTGTGTTCTTATGTATTCCCATGGATTTAGCATGGTGTCTGGTGTATCACCGTATAGTTGATAAATTTTTATTGAATTCACATATCCATCTGACAAGGGATTAATAACCAGAATATATAAGGAGCTCAAACAATTCAGTAGGAAAATCCCAAATAATCCAATTTTTAAATGGGCAAAAGATCTGAATAAACATTTCTTCTTCTTATTATTATTATACTTTAAGTTTTAGGGTACATGTGCACAACGTGCAGGTTTGTTACATAGGCATACACGTGCCATGTTGGCTTGCTGCATGACATTTCTTAAAAGAAGATATACAAATGGACAACAGGTATATGAAAAAAATGTTCAATATCACTAATCATCAGAGAAACTCAAATCAAAACCACAATGAGATTTCATCTCACCCCAGTTAAAATGGCTTTTATCAAAAAGACAGGGAATAATGGATGCTGGCAGGGATGTAGAGAAAGGGGAACCCTCATACATAGTTGGTGGGAATGTCACTTAGTACAGCTATTATGGAAAACTGTAAGGAAGTTCCTTAAAAAACTAAAAATAGAACTGCTATATGATTCACCAATTTCACCACTAGATGTATATCCAAAAGAAAGGAAATCAATATATCAAAGATATGTCTGCACTCCCCCGTTTATTGCAACACTATTCACAATAGCCAAAATATAAAATCAACCTAAGTGCCCATAAACGGATGAATGGATAAAGAAAATGTGCCATATATATAAGACGGAATATTATTCGGCAATAAAAATTAAACCCTGTCATTTGCAGCAACATAGATGGAACTAGAGGTCATTATGTTAAGTGAAGTAAGCCAGGCACAGAAAGACAAATATCACATGTTCTCACTCACATGTGGGAAGTTAAAAAGTAGATTTTGTGAAGATAGAGAATAGATTGGTAGTTTTCAGAGGCCAGGAAGGGTAGAGGGGAAGGCGAGGATGAAGAGAGGTTGATTAATGGGTACAAATATACAGTTTAACAGAATAATTAAGACCTAGAGTTTGATAGATCAGAAGGGTGACTATAGTTTACAACAATCTATTGTATATTTCAAAATAGCTAGAAGATAATAATTTGAATATTTCAAACATAAAGAAAAGACAAATATATAAGGTGATGGCTATCCCAGTTATACCGGTTTGAACTTTACAAATTATATGAATGTATTACATTATCGCAGGTTATCCCAAAATATGCACACCTATGATGTATCAATAAAAATTAAAAATAATACAAATTTACAGAAATCTACTACGTGTGAGGTGCTAAGGACTCAGAAATGAAACAAAACTTTCTCTCACATGGCTTATAACCTAGGAGAGAAGTAAGTAGGAAAGCAAATAAGAAATGGCTATTCTGCATAATTAGTGCTATGGTGGGGGAAGAAAAGGAGAATATAGCATCATCTAGAGAAGCCCCTATTCTGGGGCTCAAGGAAGATCACAAAAGGCTTTTTTTTTTTTGGAGGCTGTAACACCTTAGTGAAACCTACAGGATGGATCAGTTAGTCATCCAAGATACAGTGGGTGAGGACAGAAGCAAAGAACAACATGTATCTGGAAAGGAAGGAGGGCATGACATGATCAACAGGCTAAGCCCTAGGGCTGCCAGAGTAGAGTTGAGGATGAGGAAGATGAATGGGAAGAGATAAAGATATAAATAAGCTGATATAATGGTAAACCTCACCAAACATCTTAAGGAAATGGGAAGGTCATTGGAATGCTGTATGCAGGGAGTAGCATGACCAGTTTTGTGTTACACAAGGTCATTCTGGCTGTACTGTATATAAGGGATTGAAGACCAAGAGTTAGGAGGCCATGGCAGCAACCTAGGTGAAAGCTGGCAGAATAACAGTGACCTCAACTGGGTTAGTAACAATGGGACTATAAAGAATAAGAAGACAGATCTGAGGGCCACTTAAAAAGTGGCAGTCACAAAAATTAGCAATTCAATAAGTAATTTGATAAATGATGTGGGGACAACTGGTTAAATATTCGGAGGAAAAGAGTTAGATTCTTATATCAAAATTACATCAAAATTAACTCCAGGTCAGTGAAAGATTTGAATGGTTAAAGAATGAAATTATAAAACTATCAGAAGACTTCTGGTCAAGATGAATGACACTTTGAGATACCCCATCTCTTCCAAATCCACTTATGATAGGCAGCTAAAAAACAAAGCTGATTCCACTTCTCTTGCTGAGGCTATAGCATTATACAGAGCTGTGGACTGGAGGAGGAAGGACAAAGACACAGTAAGAACTGAATAGGCGGGGCACGGTGGCTCGCGCCTGTAATCTCAGCACTTTGGGAGGCCAAGCTGGGCAGATCACCTGAGGTCAGGAATTCGAGACCAGCCTGGCCAACATGGCGAAACCCGTCTCTACTGAAAATACACACACACACACACACACACAAATTAGCTGGGAGGGGTGATGCATGCCTATAATTCCAGCTACTTAGGAGGCTGAGGCAGGAGAATCGTTTGAACCCGGGAGGCAGAGCTTGCAGTGAGCCGTGACACTGCATTCCAGCCTGGGTGACAGAGCAAGATACTGTCGCAAAAAATAAAACAAACAAACAAAAACCGAAACAAAACATTAAATGTAAAAAGCAAACCTGTAACACTTTTAAAAGAAAACAAGAGAATGTATTTATGACCTTAAGGTAAGGAAGGATTGTCAAATTTAAGCATTAAATCCTTTATTTGACAAGTGACACCATAAGTAAGTGATAAGGCAATCCACAAACTTAACTTTGCAATGAAAGAAGATACTTTCAAAGCATTTTGCCACACTGGACCTAGACAAGGTGTAGGTGTGCTCCTTGCATTGATGGTTCTAAATCTTTTTCCCTCTTTCCTTCCTGAAACTTCTGTTTTGATTAACATGTAATTGGACTATACCACTCACTTCTACTCCTTGTTATACACTCATTCTCCCATCTGGAGACACTCATCTTTCCTTGAAGATTTTAGCTGGTGGTTCACTGTTACTTCAATATCACTTTTGTCATAATTCTTGGTGATTTTAATATCGACTTATATGGACCTTCCAGTAACCTAGCTTCTAAGTTCTTTGGCCTCCTCTTCTTGATATTGTCTTCTATCTTGGCAACTCACTAACATGGTTATACCTCTAGACCTGCACTGTCCAATAGGATAATTGGACTGAATGTTTCAAACATAAAGAAAAGAAAAATATATAAGGTGATGGCTATCCCAGTTATACTGGTTTGAACTTTACAAATTATATGAATGTATTACATTATCACAGGTTATCCCAAAATATGTACACCTCTGATGTATCAATAAAAATTAAAAATAATAAAAGTTTACAGAAATCTACTATGTGTGAGGTGCTAAGGACTCAGAAATGAAACAAAACTTTCTCTCACATGGCTTATAACCTAGAAACCTACAAATTGGAATGAAATGTGTCCAATATGATGTCCACGTTTCTCATGTTGCTTTTAAATTTTAAATTTATGCTGGGTGCGGTGGCTCATGCCTGTAATCCCAGCATTTTGGGAGGCCGAGGTGGGCGGATCACCTGAGGTCAGGAGTTGGAGACCAGCCTGACCAACATGGAGAAACCCCATCTCTACTCAAAATACAAAATTAGCCGGGCATGGTAGCACACGCCTGTAACACCAGCTACACGGGAGGCTGAGGCAGGAGAATCGCTTGAACCTGGGAGGCGGAGGTTGCAGTGAGCCGAGATCATGCCACTACACTCCAGCCTGGGCAACAAGAGCAAAACTCCGTCTCAAAAAAAAAAAAAAAAAAAAAAAAAAAAAAAAATATATATATATATATATATATATATATATAAATTTTAAATTTATTAAATTTAAATATTTAAATATTATTTCTTCCACTGAAGTTCTACTGGATAGTGCTGCTTTAGATCTTGTCATTACCAATAAATAACTGCAACTTCTCCATAATGTCATTATTAAGCATCACATTTTCTGACCTTTTTTTTTTTTTTTGAGGGACAGGGTCTCTCTGTTGCTCAGGCTGGAGTGCTATGGCGTGATCATGGTTCATTGCAGCCTCAAACTCCTGGGCTATAGCGATCATCCCGCCTCAGCTTCCTAAGTAGCTGGGACTACAGGTGCATGCCACTAAACTCCCCTAAGTTTTTTTGTTTTTTCATTTTTATTTTTTTTAAGACAGAGTCTCACTTTGTAGCTCAGGCTGGAGTGCAGTGGTGCGATCTTGGCTCACTGCAACTTCCACCTCCCAGGTTCAGGTGATTCTCCTGCCTCAGCCTCCTAAGTAGCTGGGATTATATGCGCCCACCACCATGCTGGGCTAATTTTTTGCATTTTTAGTAGAGATGGGGTTTCACGATGTCGGTCAGGCTGGTCTTGAACTCCTGACCTCAAGTGATCTGCCCACATCAGCCTCCCAAAGTGCTGGGATTGCAGGCGTGGGCTACCATGCCTGGCCTTATTTTTTATTTTTTAGAGATGGGGTCTTGATATTTTTCCCAGTCTGGTCTTGAACTTCTGGCCTCAAGTGATCCTCCCACCTCAGCCTCTCAAGTGGCTGGAATTATAGGCAAGATCTTCTGTTTTTAAAGCTTATTCTTTGACTCCAACCATTTTTCAAATATATCTGTACCTATAATATATTAATTCCTCAACCATTTATTGTCCCTAACCTGTGTCATTGCCAATTTTCATTATTATTCAACCTAAATTCTGTGATAAATCATTATAACCTTGCATGCATCCTAAACTCCCTTGTCTTGTCCCTCTTACTTTTTATTGATTTTTTTTTTAACTTTGCAAATCCTGGTTAAATCTAACTTTCTGCCTGCTTGTTACTAGGATCCAGTTCTCCACTTAAATTTGCACTGCACCTCTGCAGCTAAATGTGGTTGGAGGGAAAAACACATAACCATCACTAACCTCACTTGAGTGCTTAATGCTACCTACCAATCATTACTGTTTCTTAGTCCAGACTCTCATTCTTCTAGACTATTCAGAATTTCTCCTAACTTTCAAGCCTCTGAAAACTTCTCCCCTCACTCTTATCCTCACTCTCAACTGATGAGTTGTATCTTATTCCTATTGAAAAATAATGGCAATCAGAAAGGAATTTTCATGTGCTCTCACTGTCACATCTCCTCACCTACCTGCATTTGTGTTCACGTGCTCTGCCTTCTCACATATTACTGTGAATGGACTGTCTATGCTCCTAATGAAGGCCAGTTCTCTATTATGTGCTAGATCTCACTCTCTCTAGTCGATTTAGGGACCCCGTTACAGCACTTTTCTCCTTTATCTCTGGCATCATCAAGTTTTTTCTCTCTATTGGATCTTTCCAATCAGCACAAAACCATGATGTTATTTCTATTGTCTTAAGAAAAGAAAATAAACCTTACTATTCACCTTACTTTTCCCTTCAGTTACTCCATTTTCTACCTTCTCCTTTTAGCAAAATTCCTTTAAAGAGTAGCCTGCCTATACCTACTATTTCTAACTTCTCCACTCCCATTCTCTCTTGAATCTACGTTGATCAGCTTTTCTTCCCCATCTTAGTCCATTTTGTGCTACTATAACAGAATACCTCAGAGATTTATTGGCTCACACTTCTGGAGGCTGGGAAGTCCAAGATTGAAAAGTGCATCTTGCCAGGGCCTTCTTGCTGCATCATCCCATGGTGGACAGCATCCCATGGCAGAAGGGCAAAGAGAGGGTGAGAGAGACAAAACAGAGCTGAACTCATCCTTTTATAAGGATTCTACTCCAACGATAACAACTCTATTTCTGAGATAATGGCATTAATCCATTCATGAGGGTAGAGTGCTCATGACCTAATTACCTCTTAAATATCCCACCTTTTAATACTGTCACAATAGCAATTAAACTTCAACTTGTGTGGGAGGGGACAGACATTCAAACCATAGCATCCCCCACCATGCCATTAACTCTGTCATCACTATCACTCAATATTTCCACATTGCTAAATGTAATGGTCAATGTCAGCCCACATCTTGCTTGACCTATGAGCAGTATGGGACACAGCTGATCCCTCCTTTCTTCTGGAGACACTTTCTTTTCTTGACTTCCAATGTTTCTCCCTACCTTACTATCTCTTCCTTCTCAGTCTCCTTTGTTGGTTTCTCCTTATTTCCCTGACCTCTGAATATTGAAATATCTCAGGCTTTGGATTTCTTCTCTTCACTATCTATACTCACTTTGTGGTAGATTAAATTATGGTTTACAACTACTTGCTTTCTCCCTTCTATGACTATTATACATCCGCACCCTTTGGATTTGTCTTTAAATGCCTCTGCTGAGCAGAGTATACATTTTTTGCCACATTGCAGGGCTGAGTTATGTGACTTTTTTTGGCTGGTGGAATGGAATAGAATGGAAATACGTGGTGTACACCATATGCAAGGAGAATCTTTAAACTGGATTGAATGGATTAGTTTGGTCTCTCTTGCTTCTGCCCTTTGCCACGAGTATAGCACAGACAGGGGCTGTTCTTTTAGCCTAGGCACAAGATTAGAAGACACTTGAATCCGACCTATTTGCTGGCCCACAACCTAGAGCAGAGCTGTAATCAATCTGTAGCCCATATGTAGCAAGAGCAGGAAATGAACGTTTGTTGCTGTAATCCACTGAGATTTGGTGCTTGTTAGTTACCTCAACAATGTTAACTAATAAAATTTTCTTTAAACTCTCCTGAGCTCTATGCTCATATATCCAGTTGCCAACTTGGCATCTACATTTAGATGTATCAAAGGCATCTCGAACTCAGCAGGTTCAAAATGAGCTCCTGATATTTCCCACAAAATCTGTTCTTCTTGAAGTCTTGTCATTATCACTAATGTAAACTCCAACAATAACAAAAAAAAAGGGGACAAAAAACTACAGTCACACTGATTTCTCACTTTTGCTTGCATTCCATGCCCAATTTATCAACAAATCTTGGTTTTATTTTCAAAATAAATCCAGAGTCTGGAAACTTCTCACCACCTTTACTAGTACCACCTTGGCCCAAGCCATGATCATCTTTGCCCACTTACTGTTACAGCCATACCAATCCCCACCAATGGGGTGGTCACCTTTGCATTCTCCATCACAGCCTCAGCTCCTAGGCATTACTAGAGAAAGTTCCTCTAGAGTAGGAAAACAAAAGTTAATCAATAACTACCCAATGAATGTTACCCAAGCTTAGTTGGGTCATAATTACTCATGGGTTATCTTTTAATTATCTCTAATCACTTTTTACCACCTGCATCACTATCATAGTCCAAGCCACTATCATCTCTTGTCCAGGTTATTCTGAAAGCCACTCAGTTTACTCCTGCTCTTGTCCCCAAGAGTGCGCCTTTTAAAACAGTAAGACTGTGTTATTCCTTTGTCCAAATTTTCCTTTCCTCAAATGGAAAAATATCACCTCACCAAGAGAAAAAAATCATTATAATGGTCCACAATGCCTTACATTTTGCACACATGCAAACACACACACACACACACACACACACACACACACACACACTCCCCATCTTACTGCTCAGATCTCATCTCTTATGACCCTCACTTTTCTCATTCAGCTTTAGCCACAGTAGCTTCCTTGCTGTTTCTTAAATACATAATTTATGCTCCCACTTCAGGGCCCTTGCATCTGTTGTTCCCTTTACCTAAGATGCCCTTCCACCAAATATCTCTATGGCCTGCTTCCTTGCTTTCTTTAGGATTTTACTCAAATGTCACCTTATCAGTGAGGCCTTCCTTCACCACTCTATTTTAAATGGTCCCAGAAATCCTATCCGGCTTCCCTGCTTTATTTCTCTCTATAGCACTTATCATAAAGTATGTAAAATTTAACATATAACAAATTTTGCTTTTTTATTGTGTTTATTGCTTCTCTTTCTACACTAGAATGTAAACTCCATGAACTAAGAGTTGTTTTGGTCTGTTTTGTTCACTGTTGTATACTGTGAACTGGTGTAGCCTTCTTCTCAAGCCCTTCCAATAAATTTGGAAATTCCTAATTACTTGAATTAAATCTTTCTCTGCTAAAAAAAAAAAAATCTACATTGGTTTCTGTGTTCTTTAATTAACCTGACTGATAGATAGACCCATTCTTGCAGAAAAAAGAAATGCTTCTATCTGGAGAGATTGAACCCGAACAACTCTGGACCCTGCAACTATTGGGCATTCAGTGACAGTCTACATATTGAACAATGAGGTCTCCAGCCTTTTTATACCATTGGCTTTAGACACTAGCTGACAGACTTACAGTACACCATCTTCAGGGAGGAGATTAGAATATTTGTTATTGGAGCTGCTGGCTTCCCAAGAGAAAAGCATTTTGGGAAAGAGGAAGAGAGCCCTGCCTAATCAACCTGCCATGCACAGAGGTTGCAATGGACTTTTTATTGCCTCATTCTTAAATCAAGAGACCACCAAGGGTCACCAGATATTAGAAGACATATAGAAGAAAGATTCCAATACAAAATATAGAAAAAACCCCCAAAACTTTAAAAAATGAACTTATGGCCAGGCGCGGTGGCTCACGCCTGTAATCCCAGGACTTTGGGAGGCTGAGGCAGGCAGATCACGAGGTCAGGAGTTCGAGACCAGCCTGGCCAACATAGTGAAACCCTGTCTCTACTAAAAAACACACACACACACACAAAAATTAGCTGGGTGTGGTGGCATGCACCTGTAGTCCCAGCTACTCAGGAGGCTGAGGCAGGAGAATCGTTTGAATCTGGGAGGCAGAGGTTGCAGTGAGCCAAGACTGTGCCACTGCACTCCAGACTGGCAACAGAGCGAGACTACATCAAAACAACAACAACAACAACAACAACAAAAAACTTTTAAGGAATAGAAAGAGTAGATGGAACAGAAGAAGAAAGCTTATAAATTACAATTATAACTAATATTCTAAGAAAGACAAGATAAAGTATTGCATCTTTACTTTAGTAAGTACTCCTTAAACAATAATAAGATACTCCTAAAAAGGAACATTCAGAGAATTAGAAAAATTTGTAAGTATTAAGAATGTAATAGCGGATAGAAAATTTAATAGGATTGGAAAATATGTCTACTAAGACAGTAGAAAAGAGGAAGGAAAGGATAAGAAGATTAGAAACTCAACACAGGAAATTTAGCATCCAACTGATCAAAATTTCAAACTAATAGAGAAAAATTGAGAGCAATAGTCAAATAATTAAAGACAATTTACAAGAATTAATTGCCAGAAATCCTAAGGTAATATAGAGAAACAAAAAAGACCATGCAGGAAGGAGAAACAGAATGGCATTAAACTTCTCATGGCAATACTAGATCCTAGACAACGATAAAACAATGACTTCAAAATTGTCATCAAAATGGATTTCCAATGTTGAATTCTATACAAATCACAAATCACGTGTAAGGGTAAACTAAAGACATTTCACATATGCAGTCTCTCAAGGTCTCAAAAAATTTACTTCCGGGCACCCCCATTTTTTTCTTTTTTTTTTTTGACACAGAGTCTTACCCTGTCACACAGGCTGGAGGGCAGTGGCACGGTCTCTGCTCACTGCAACCTCCCCCTCCTGGGTTCAAGCAATTCTCCTGTCTCAGCCTCTAAGTAGTTGGGATTACAGGCTCCCGCCACCACGCCTGGCTAATTTTTTGTATTTTTAGTAGAGACAGGGTTTCATCATGTTGGCCAGGCTAGTCTCAAACACTTGACCTCAAATGATCTGCCCGCTTCGGCCTCCCAAAGTGCTGGGATTACAGGTGTGAGCCACCGCGTCCCTTCTAAGCACCCCTTCTAAGGTTGCTGTTGGAGAAAGTGTTCCATCAAAACAATGGAAGAAACCAAGAAAGGGGCATACATGGAATCCAAGCAAAAGAATCTTATGCAGGAGAGAGGAGAAGGGAATGACCGGAAGTCCCAGGTAGCCTGCAGTGCAGCAGGCCTAAAGAGCAGCCAGTCACAAATAGGAATAGGACAATGGAGGCCTCAAAAAGCCTGTTTTTAAAAGATGGGGGGAAAAAACCCGAACTGTGAGACCGACAGATTAGCTGATGTATTAACCATAGAATATACAGAGAAATTTTACGACTCTGGGAGAGGAAATGATCAACTGAGACAAGTACATAGAAAACAAAACAAAGAGAAAAACAAGGTAATTATTATCATAATTATTTTTGTAAAAAGGAACTGTGGGCCGGGCGCGGTGGCTCACGCCTGTAATCCCAGCACTTTGGGAGGCCGAGGCAGGCGGATCACGAGGTCAGGAGATCGAGACCATCCTGGCTAACACGGTGGAACCCCGTCTCTACTAAAAATACAAAAAATTAGCCGGGCGAGGTGGCGGGCGCCTGTAGTCCCAGCTACCTGGGAGGCTGAGGCAGGAGAAGGCGTGAACCCGGGAGGCGGAGCTTACAGTGAGCCGAGATCGCGCCACTGCACTCCAGCCTGGGTGACAGAGCAAGACTCTGTCTCTAAAAAAAAAAAAAAAAAAAAAAAAGTTACCAGTGGAGATTGTTTTTACTGTGGGCATATTTGCAAGTTGAAGGAAAGACGCAGCAGGGAGAGAAGGAGAGGAACTGATGGAACAAAGTCAAAGAGGAAGTGGGATAAGATAGGACATAAGGACACGTGGAGCATTCAGATCCAGAGAGGATGATCAGCACCTCTTCCTCTGAGACCAGAGGGACAAACCATAATGAGTGAAGAGATGAGGACATTCTTAAAGTGGAGCTAGCAAAGCTGGGAATGGCCTTCCACAAGAGGAAACCTAAGACTGGACCCAGAATAGTAAAGGTGGGTTTGGGGACTTGAGGCAAGTGAGAAAGCTCTGGAAATGCCGCTGGATAAATTCTGTAGGGATGCATTCCTGGAGAGGTGGTGCCGCGGTGAAAGTGGTGTACATGGATAGTGAACCGCACCTACATGATGGCATGATTTTCTTCAGGCATGCCCATCAACCTGGGAGTAGGAAAAAAGCCCAAGAATGCTGGATTTTCCCTAACGTGAAGGAAGGGAAAGTGACAACCCCACAAATCAAACAGGTGAGTGTGGAGTGTGCACGCCTCTAGTTCTTTAGTATACCCATATATAACTAGCCAGCCACAGGAAGCTCTCTATGCGGAGCTTTGAGTAAGACAGGAATGGCATTAACAAGCTATAACAAGAAAGGCTGAAAAGGGTACGTAGTCATGTTTGCTCTGAAGGATGGTCCAATAGGAGTGAAGAGGTGGGACAAGTAGAGAGAGTGATAAGTTGTGGTCAATATAACAAGCACAGAGGGTGATAGTTTCGAGAATATAAAATTCCAAGTGGTGTTGAGGTCCCAGGTATGGCCATGCAAGTGTGTAACTGAAGTAGAAACTAGTCAGCCAAGTTCCTGCATGAAAATGAACATGGATTTGGTAGGCAACCTCTAAGAGAGCCCCTAGTGACCCCCACTTCCTGTTAGTCTCACCCTTGTATAATCCCCTACCCCATTGAGTATAGGTCTAGTGACACTTCTTTTTTTTTTTTTTTTTTTTTTTGAGATGGAGTCTCACACTGTCGCCCAGGCTGGAGTGCAGTGGTGTGCAGCTCACTGCAACTTCTGCCTCCTGAGTTCAAATGATTCTCCTATCTCAGCCTCCCGAGTAGCTGGGATTACAGGTGCCCACCACCAGGCCTGGCTAATTTTTTGTATCTTTAGTTGAGATGGGGTTTCACCATGTTGGCTAGGCTGCTCTCAAACTCCTGACCTTGTGATTTGCCTGCCTCAGCCTCCCAAAGTGTTGAGATTAAGGCGTGAGCCACCGTGCCCAGCCAACTCACTTCTAACAAATAAAATGTGGCAAAAATGGTGGGCTCTTGCTTCTGAGATTAGGTTACAAAAATACTCTGGCTTTCACCTTGTTTGCTTTATTTTGCTGTTGCTTTTGTTTGCTTGAATGATGCCAGCTGCCATGTCGTGAGCTGCCCAGTGGAGAGACCAACCAGGCAAGGAACTGAGGGAGGTCTCTGGCCAACAGCCAGGGTGGAAATGAGTCCTCAGTCCAACAACCCATGAGGACTTGAGTCTGCCAACAGCCACATGAGTGAGCTTGGAAGCAGATCCTCCCCAGCAGAGCCTTAGATGACGGCTGCCTCAGTCAACACTCAACTGCAGTCTTGTGAGAGACCCCGAGCCAGAGGACCCAGATAAGTGTTGCCCAGATTCCTGACTCACAGAAACTGTGAGACAATATATGTTTGTTGTTTTAAGCTGCTAAGGTGGAGTGACTTGATATGTAGTCATAGATAACTAATACAATGGATGTTGACGTCTTGAGAACAACAGGAGACAAGGTTGAGAAGAAAATCATGAACCAGGAGCAGTGGTCATCATTAAACATAAAGCAGAGCTCCTTCCACTTTACTGTGCAGACAGAACGCTTAGGGGTCTTGTGAAAATGCAGATTCTGACTCAGTAGTTTTGGGACCTACCCTTAGTTCATTGTACATTTCTTTTTTCTTTCTTTCTTTTCTTTTTTTTTTTTTTTGAGACAGAGTCTCGCTGTGTTGCCCAGGCTGGAGTGCAGTGGCGTGATCTCGGCTCACCACAACCTCCGCCTCCCAGGTTCAAGTAATTCTCCTGCCTCAGCCTCCCAAGTAGCTGGGACTACAGGTGTGTGCCACCACGCCCAGCTAATTTTTTTTTTTGTATTGTTAGCAGAGATGGAGTTTCACTATGTTGGCCAGGCTGGCTTTGAACTCCTGACTTCAAGTGATCCACCCACCTCAGCCTCCCAAAGTGCTGCGATTACAGGTATGAGCCACCGTGCCCGGCCTTTTCATATATGTATTTATTTATTTTGAGACAGAGTCTCGCTCTGTCACTCAGGCTGGAGTGCAGTGGTCATCTCAACTTACTGCAAACTCTGCCTCCCGGATTCAAGCAATTCTTCTCCTGCCTCAGCCTCCGAGTAGCTGGAACTACAGGCACGTGCCGCCACACTCGACTAATTTTTGTATTTTTTTAGTAGAGACGGGGTTTCACCATGTTGGCCAGGCTGGTCTCAAACTCCTGGCCTCAAGTGATCCACTGCCTTGGCCTCCCAAAGTGCTGGGATTACAGGCATGAGCCACTGCACCTGGCCGGTTGTACATTTCTAAAAAGTTCATGGAAGAGGCTGATGCTGTTGGTGCTTTACAAACTAGGGCTCTAAAGCACCCTGAGGATGAGCAGAAGACAGTAGAGAGGATGGGGAAAAGGTGAGTTGGGAGAACCCAAATCAATATGTTTGAAGAGGAGATCAAATTGTTCACTAAAATAAGGAGGCAGTTCAAGGCATATGTAAGCCAGGGCCTAAGATAAGGCTAGGGAATAATAGAGATGAAGCAGACAAGCAGATAATTCTGGGTGAAAACGTGAAGCATTGGGTATTGCCTACAACTGGCTTTTATGGGTTCCCCATAGTATAATGCTAAGGCAGGTCTGTCACGGTTAGGGGACAGGATTCTCTTTCTCTCTTTCCCTCCTGCCCCATCCCATCCCCCCACCAATTACTCTTAATACCTATCTACATCCATTTAATGAAACCTGATTTATAAAAGGCCTTTAGGGGCCGGGCACGGTGGCTCATGCCTGTAATCCCAGCCCTTTGGGAGGCTGAGGTGCATGGATCGCTTGAGCCCACGAGTTCGATACTAGCCTGGGCAGCAAGGCAAATCCATGTCTCTACTAAAAATACAAAAATCAGCTGGGCATGGTGTCACATGCCTGTAGTCGCAGCTACTCATGAGGCTGAGGTGGGAGGATCACCTGAGACTTGAGAGGTTGAGGCTACATTGGGAGGTTGAAGCTGCAGTGAGCTGTGATTGTGCCATTGCACTCCAGCCTGGGTGACGGGAATGGGACCTTGCCTCAGAAAAAAAAAAAAAAAAGAAAGAAAGAAAGAAAAGGAAAAAAAAAAAGGCCCTTAGGGTAGATGGAGATATAATTTCATTCATTTATTCATTCAGTCATTCATTCATTCAGTCATTCATTTAGCAACCCTGTCCCAAGCACCTATTATGTACTAGATATTAGAGAAACAAAAGTGGATGAGAGTCTCTGCCCTAATTACTGATATAGCAGGGGAGACAGGTGACAGGTACATCAATAACTACTGGAACACAATGTGATAGGTGCTATAATAGAGGTACAAAAGTTATGGTAGCCTGGCAGGATTAATGATTAATTTTTCCCAAGAGCTCAGGGGTAAGACAAGTTTTGCAGACTAGGTGGCTGGAAGCCGGGCCTTTAGAGGAGTAGACATTGAAAAGGGAGTCAGGGAATTTTAGGCTGATCAATTTGTAAATAAATATCTCTTAGACCCCTTCCTTATGTGAATAACATAAGCTCACACAGCAACAACCTTCTCATCGTTGGGCTTTCTTCATGGGAAGGGAACTCACAAACTGGCCAACATAAATATCTTGGCTCTTGGCTGCTACATTTCTCATTATAAATGATTAAACTGATTTTCTCAGTTTACATACAGATCAGGCTCATATGAGTTTGGGATACATGAGCCAGGTTTTTTTGTGTTTTTTTTTTAAATCAAGCCAGCATAAACCAAGTTGAGATACCAGATTACAAAGGCAGAAAACCCACAGAATCTAGAAGGGCAACATCTTTCCTAACCATTCAACTTATTCCTCCACTGCACACAGTGAAACAGTAAACCTAAAGAGGACTGGATTCACGATAACATTGTTCACGGAAAGGGACAAGAGGCTAATACTCTTAGACTTAGGTGTATGTGGTGGGGGAAAAAAGTCTTGAAAGGGAACTGGAAGAGACCTAATAAACACACTTGAATAGATATTGCATGCAGTTCAGGTACTTCAGGCATTTGTGTGCATTAATAGTGAGCCTTCAGCACCATGCTTTTATGACTTGAACCACAAAAAATACCAATAAAGAGAGGAGAACTGGGTGAACTGTTCCTGGAGCCTCTTTGAAACCATACATAAGGTCAGCTTGACATCACCACTCATGTTCTGCTTGATCAAGTCTGACCAGTTTTTCCCTTGCAGTTAATAGGGCAGTTCTTTTCCTCCTCTGTGACTTCTTACTAGCCTTGAACTGCTGTGGTAGCAGTAGCTGAGGTGCCTGCAGGCCAAGTGTGCATGTGAGCAATGGGTCCACGAAGTCAGCTATAGTCTGCCCGCCATGCCCCCATTCGGACTTGATCTAAACACTGACATCTCCACATAAAACTGCCACCATGTCCCCAGCCCACTCTCATTGTACCAAGGTCTTACGGTTTTAATCTCAGTATAAAATCCTATGTGAGTGCCCCCAGAAGAAAATTCCAAAGCCATTATCTTCTCCATTTAAATCTTTTGTCACACTTAAACAGAAGATCTGATTCACATACAATATCAAATACTTTGCCCCTTGTTGGTATCATCTAGTCTTTGTCAGTGTGTCCATTTTGACACAGTTGAAATCAGGTTGTTCATTAGCCAGTTGGTTAGGTTGATTTCACAATTAAACCACTATTAGACATACATTTAGACACACACTCATGCCGCAGTGTAGACCGGATTCTTATTATTTAAAGTAGGTACAGAGTATTCCAGTGTATTCATAGAGTGGGATTCGCTTAGTCTTCCCCTCTATTATTGGGTTTTGGGTTGTTTCCAGTTTTTTAAAAATTTATTTTATTGAGACAGAGTCTCACTCTGTCGCCCAGGCTGGAGTGCAGTGGTGTGATCTCGGCTCTCTGCAACCTCTGCCTCCTGGATTCAAGCAATTCTCCTGCCTCAGCCTCCCATGTAGCTGGGACTACAGGCACATGCCACCACACCTGGTTAATTTTTGTATTTTTAGTAGAGATGGGGTTTCACCATGTTGGCCGGGCTGATCTCGAACTCCTGACTTCAAGGGATCCACTTGCCTCAGCCTCTCAAACAGCTGGGATTACAGGCGTGAGCCACCGTGCCCGGCCCAAAATTTATAATACTGTGAATAAAGGTACTACGTACATTGTTATACAAATTGCCTTTTTTTCCTTTTTAGATTGTTAACTTGGAACATATTTCCCAAGCCAATGGATGAACAGTAAGGAATCACTGAATGATTGTAAGCTGGGAAAAGGCATGATCAGATTTTCACCTTTAAAATATCTGCCCATTGAGGGTAATACCTGTTACAGGGTTATTGTGCACACTAAATGGGGTCAGAAAGGTGACACCAAAGCAAAGAACGGCGCAGCTACAGATGCTTATACTAAGACTGTTGTCAGGAAGTCTATGAAGAATCATAGTTAATTGAAGATCATCATGCAAAGTGTTTCTCTTGGTTTCTTATTTTATCTTTGCATGCCAAAAATGTTTTCTTGAGATTCTTATTTAATCTTGGCATGCTAAGGATAGTGCAGTGCCCTGAGAAGCAGTTAAACCCAGCAAATAACCAGCTTCTTTGTGAGCAAGTACTTGCTTCAGGAACTTGGGCTTGCCTCATAAGCATGGAAGTGGTCCACCCTTGAAGCACGGCAATGTCTGTGACCTGATAAGGAGAGCAGAGACATTATCTGGTCTAGACACTGGCTTAAGAGATAGCTTTTCACATATCTCTTCTCTCTTTTCATTTGATCCATTGCAATCTTCTTGTTATATTTAAATCCTGTTTTTCTCCTTCTGCTCTTCAGCGTTCACAACGCTCTAGCTTCACCATCTCTGGACTCTGTTTTCTCATCTGGAAAGTGAGGAGGTGACCTTGACAGTCATTGTGGGCCTTTGCAGCTCTAACCTTATGGTTCTGTCCCTTCTGTCTGGATGGCAAGGCCCAGTCTTGCCTTAACCCAGGGTCTTATTGCTTCAATTTCCCCACACCATGAACCACTGGCTCCCTAGAGAAATCTTTCTCAAAGTGTGACACCCGAATCACCTGAAAGCATGCTAAAATGCAGGTTCCTGGGCCCCAGGGCTGCAGAATCAGAATCTCAGGGATAAAGCCTAGGGATGCTGCTTTTACGTTATAAAAGACAAACATGAATCAATGCATGCGATTGTGGGCCAAACGAGGTGAAAGCCTTCCTGAGAGGAACACTTTGCCCCACAAATCTCTTTAGTCTTCGCCTTTCCTGTGTTCCCTCTTATTCTTCAAGTTCTGCTTTCTTTTTGGAAATGTATTTATTATTTATTAAAAAAATTTTTTTAGAGACAAGGGCTTGCTGTGTTGCCCAGGCTGGCTTTGAACTCTTGAGTTTAAACAATCCTCCTGCCTCAGCCTCCTGTACCTGTGTGTAACAGGGACTACAGGCACATGCAACTGTACCTGGCTTTCAAGATTCTGCTTCTTTAAACAGATCAAAAGAGTCACATTAGAGTTACATCAAAGAAAACACATTCAAATGATAGGACTGCCAGGCTGAGTGATGCACAAGAAAGACCTTTTCAATCACACTGATCCTCAAATTCTACTTAGTCTGCAGTTGCCTGATCTACTGTCATTAAGCCTGACACTAAATGTGGCATTAGGAGACTTTTATGGGTTGGATTGTGTTCCCCCCCACCACCGCCCCAATTAACATGTTGAAGCCTTAACTCCCAGTCCCTCAGAGTGTGTCTTTATTTGGAAACAGATGTGATGAGTTTGCAGATGTGATTAGTTAAGATGAGGTCATACTAGAATAGGACAGGCCCTTAATTCAATAAAACAAGTGTCTTTATAAAGAGGGGAAATTTGGACACAAACAGACCTGGGCACAGGGAGAACACCATGTGAGTATGAAAAGAGAGATCAGGGCGATGCATCTACGAAGCAAAGAACACAGAATACTGCCAGCAAACCAGCAGATACCAGGAGAGAAGCACAGAAGAGATTCTCCCTCACAGCCCCCAGAAAGCACAAATTCTGGCAGCACCTTGATCTCAAGACTACCTTCCAGAACTGTAAGACAACATATTTCTGTTGTTTAAGCCACTTTATTATGTCAGTCCTGGCAAACTAACACAGAGACCTTGGTCACAGCCCTGGCTTGATTACAGAGACTGTAGACTATCGCTTTACGTACTCTGAGCTGCTCTGTGTCATCTCACTAAAGAGACAGAAAATATGTTGCATTCATTAGAAGACAAGTATTGAATGAGATCTCTGTGAATGCACTTGTAAAGTGTTCACTATTAGTGAAATTATTTTTCATGAAGTGGCAAATAGGGAAATGCTTTGGGAAGATCATAAAGGGGTTATGATCTTCCCAGAATTATTTTTTACCATTCTTAAAGGTAGGCACCAGATTGTAGGTGTCTTCACTTAATCAAAATGTGCTGGTAGCATAGATGAACTCCCTGCACTCCTGTCCAAAGTCAGTCCCTCCCCCTGTGCACCAGAATGCATCCCCTCTCACCTGCTCTAGGCCATCACTCCAGCACTCTCCCCTTCCTTTTCTAAACCTTTGATTTCCTCCTCCCATCCACATATAAACATGCTATTATTTTTCCCAGCTTAAAAAAAACCTTTTGGTGGGGCGCGGTGGCTCACGCTTGTAATCCGAGCACTTTGGCAGGCCGAGGCGGGAGGATCACGAGGTCAGGAGATCGAGACCATCCTGGCTAACACAGGTGAAACCCCATCTCTACCAAAAATACAAAAAATGAGCCGGGCGTGGTGGCGGGCGCCTGTAGTCCCAGCTACTCAGGAGGCTGAGGCAGGCGAATGGCGTGAACCTGGGAGGCGGAGCTTGCAGTGAGCCGAGATCGTACCACTGCACTCCAGCCTGGGGGACAGAGTGAGACTCCGTCTCAAAAACAACAACAACAACAAAACAAAAAACAAAAAACAAAAACAAAAACAAAAACAAAAAAAAGTTTATAGCTTTAAAAAAAACCCTGCCTCCCCTGTGAACTACTCTTCATTTTTTTTCCTCTGCTCTACAGCAAAACTTCATGAAAGAATTGCTATAACCCAGTTCTTCTCTTACTATTTTTAATTTTTAGTAAACTTTATTTTAGACATTTAGAAATGTGCACATAGTCCTAAGCGCTCAGTTAATCTTCACAGACTGAACACTCCTGGCAACCAGCACCCATATCAAGAAATAGAATCTTATCAGCACCCCAGAAGCTCACCTCCTAACCCCTCCCAGTCACTCATCCCAAAGTAACCACTATTTTAACTTCTAGCACCTAGAGTGCTAGAATAGTTTTCTTGTTATAGATGAGTTTTCCTGTTTTTGAACTTCATACACATGAAATCATACAGTGTGTACTCTTGTATCTGGCTTTCTCCCCTCAACATTATATTTGGGAAATTAATCCATGTTGCTATAAATAGCAATGATTCACTCATTTTGATTGCTCTGGACCAGAATTGGCAAACTTTTTCTGTAAAGACCAGAAAATAAATACTTTAGGCTTTGTAGGCCATAAAGTCTATCACAACTACTCAACTCTGCTTCTGTAGCCCACAAAAGCACCCAAAGACAATACTTCAACAAATGGTCATGGCTGAGTGCCAGTCACGCTTTATGAAAACAGTTCCAGTGTTGGATTGGATTCTCAGGCTGTAGTTTGCTGACTCCTGCTTAGTCTGTAATATTCCATGGAATGAATATGCCATGACTTCTAAAATCCATTCCAATGTTGATGGACATTTGTGTTATTTCCAGGTTTGGGTTATCCTATCAACTCTCCCATCTTTTTGTGTTTTTAAATCAACTTAGTTGAGGTATGATATACATATAATAAAATGCACCCATTCACTTGTCAATCTATTTCAATCTGGATTTTCTCCCACCAATCCAACAAAACTTTTGTTGGCAAAATCACCAATGATCTCCACGTTGCTAAATCCAGTGGTCAATCCTCAGTCCTCAACTTTTTTTTACTTCTCAGTGGCATTTGACACAATTGATTTCTACCTCCTCCTTGGCATACTTTCTTCACTTGGTTTCCAGAATTTAGCATTTAGGTTTTCTTCCTACCTCACTGATCACTCCATCTTAGTCTCCTCTGCTGATTCCTCTTCTCCCAGTCCCTTAATGTTGGAAAGCTCAGAGGCTCAGTCCTTGGTCTGCGTCCTTCTCTATCCACACTCACTTTCCTGGCAATCTCATCCAGCCTTTAGCTTTAAATACCGTCTGTATACCAACAACTCTCACATTTATATTTCCATCCAGACTTCCTCCCTGACTTCCAGACTTGTAGATCCAACAACCTGCCTCACCTGTAGCCTTCTCCATCATGGTGTTCATAGTCATCTGAATCATCTTTTTAAATTGTTTTTCTCACACACTACATCCAATCCATAGCAACTCCACCTACTTCTACTCTCAAAATCTAACTACTTCTCACCACTTCTGCTATTTGTAACCTGGTCCAAGCCAGCATCATCTCTCGTCACTGCAATTGCATCCTATCCGGTTTTCCTATTTCCACTCTTGCTAACATAAAGTCAACTCACAACACAGGAGTCAGAGCGATCTGGTTATAACATAAGACAAAACATGCCACTCCTCTGCTCAAAACTCAATACAGTCCCATCTCATTAAGAGTAAAGGTCCTACAGTGTAAAAGTAGAAGTCCCTACAATGGCCTGCAAGCCCACGAAGGATCAGGTCCTTCTTATTTCTTCCATCTTCCTGGTCTCCCCTCCCTCCCTCTGCTCTAGCCACCATAGAAGCCTTAACATACCAGGCATAGTCCTGTCTTGCTGTTTCCTTTGTCTGATATACTCTTTCCCCATATGAACACCTGGCTAATCCTCTCAACACCTTCAAGTCTTTGTTCAAAAATCATCTTCTCAATGAGTCCTACCCTGATAATTCTGCAATGAGTTCCTCATGCTTTCAATTCACCTTATTCTGCTCTACTTTTTCCTTTTTCCATAACACTTTATAGCCTCCTAGCATATACATTATTGACCTAGTTAGTAGGTCTACCGTTAATCACCTATCTCCTTACACTAGAGTATAAGGTCGATGAGGGTATAAATCTTTCTTTTGTTCATTGATATATTGCAATCTCCAGGAACAGTGTCTGTTACGTAGTAGGCACTCAATAAATATTTGTTGAATATCTGAAAGATTAAGAAAATAGGAATTTCTATTTCTCTGTAAAAAGCATTAGTCTCCTTTTTCGGTGCAAAGTCTCACCCTGGTTTGAAAGCCAAAGGACTCATCTGTCAAGTTCCCAGTGAGTGGTTTGGCAATTATATCAACTACTAGCAGGTCCCCTTAGGTCGATGGACACCTGAGGCTATTTATTTTATTGGTGAAAGGTTGGTGTGAGAGCATTTTGGTCCATTTCAGGAAAACAGCAGTGTTCTAACCAGCAGCTCCAATAAATCTTACACATTCTTAAGCCCATAAGTCCTGGCCTCTTGCCTCTCTACACATCCATTCATCCAACTAAGAAGAACCTCTTGTTGGAGCACACAGGGCCCCTTGATTAGCAAGAGCAATGGGAAGGAACACAATCCTCTTCCCTTTCTGCCCTGGGGACACAACTTCAGAGCAACAAGCTCTTCGCTCAGGACAGGCAGAATGTGACAAGTAAGATTTTGCATCTCTTTCCACATACACCAAATAGCTTGCCCACTGTCCCGAGTCGGTTAAAGTTAACACATGGTGCCATGAATTTATATTGATTTATTCCAAGGTAATTTATGTTTACTTCTGGGACTGTCAGTTACTCTATGACCATCAAAGTCTATGGAGACTAATAGGCTCAGAAATGGTTCATGCAAAAGAATGTCTTTCTCATGATAATTTTCTGATTCCATATCTTTTTGCACATTCTCTATTATAGAACTTTTTACATTTTGCACTGTAGTTGTTTACATTTTGATCTTTCCATCTATATACCCCTTACTCGTCCTTTGCCCCAACCACTACACTAACAGTTTCTTATAGCTGGGACTAATGGTTTATTAACTTAGCAATACAGGGTAGTAAGTAAAGGCACAGACTCAGAAGCCATATTATGTCAAGTCCTAGCATTAGTACTGTATGATCTTGGACAAATTACTTAACCTCACTGTGCCTTAATTGTCTGGGCTGTTAAAGGAGAATAACACCACTGCCTCATGAGGCTGTTGTAAGGATAAAGTGTATGTATATTGTATATATAAAAATCACTTAGCACAACACCTGGCATATAAGAAGTGTGAACACACACACACACACACACACACACACACACACACACACACACATCCTTGTTTACATAATTAGAAGCACTTTGTGTCTTTGTGAGGTGACAAAAATTATCTGAGATTGTCTTTCAGTGTGACTCCTGCTTTAGAATTATGAATGAGTCAGCTGTTTGGTGAAAATATTCTAACAAGATGTTAAAGGGAAAAAATAAATTTGACCCTGTGCACATACACCCAGAATACATTTTGCCTTCTTCAGGACAGGGCCAATCCCATGAAACAAGCTCCCCAGCAAACATTCTCAGAGGACTTGGGGTTTCCTCTGGTACCACCAGGGTGTAGGGGAGGAGGAAGCAGGAGCAAAGTTTAGGGAATGTTTTCTGGGCTTCCTCCCCACTCCTCAAAAACACATATTAAGCCTGTGTGGCAGTTACATACATACACGAGGACCTTTAGCCTAGCCTACATTAGTTAGATCCTTTAAGATTTGCTGTAAACGGAATTGTACCCCCACCCCAAATTCATATGTTGAAGTCCTAACCCCCAATATAATTGTATTTGGAGATAAGGCTTTTGGGAGGTAAATGAGGTTAAACAGAGTCATAAGGGTAAGATCCTAATCTAAGAAAATTGACGACCTTATAAGAAGCGGAAGAGAGCAATGTCTCTCTCTCTCGCCCCGTGCTGAGGAAAGGCCATGTGAGGACACGACGAGAAGGTGGCCCTCTGCAAGCTGGGAAGAGACTGTTCAACAGGAATTGACTGGCACCTGATCTGGGACTTCCCAGCCTCCAGAAATGTGAGACATTTCTGTTGTTTAAGCCACCCAATCTATGGTATTTTGTTATGGTAGCCCGTGTTGACTAAAGCAGGTTGGAACAGGATAATATACCCAGATAATCCCAATAATGGGTGTTTATTGCCAGGGTTCATGGGGCAGCATGGGATGTCCTTCGCCTCCTTAGCTGGGCAGCCAGTCTTGGTCTCAGAGCTTCCCAGGGATGTGTACAGGCTCATGGAGAAAAAGAATAAAGGCTCAGCATGGATTGGGATAACTACACTTTGTTTATCTAGTATTCCTATTTCCTGGTTGAGTGTCCCTATTGGGCAGTTTGACACCCGAAGTCCTTTTTGGCCTCCTTCTGACTAGCTCAGTCCCAGGGGACTTTGGCTCCAAACAAACGTGGCTAGGGTAGTAGGGTTGGTTTTATACGGCAAGAAATATGACAACAGAGAATAAGCCACTAGCAGCCTGTTTCTCAGAAGCGGGCTGTGGGCCTAGGAGGCACTTAAGAACAACAAAGCGTTCTCCTCACTGTAGAGTGTAGTTTGAAAAGAGCAGTTTTGAGGTCAACGCTCCTATTCTAGTGCTTCTATTATTACTTCCCTAGGGCTGCTGTAACTAAGTACCACAAACTGGGTGGCTTAAAATAACAGATACATATCCTCTCACAGTTCTGGAGGCTGGAGGTCTACAGTTATCAGCAGGCCGTGCTCCTTCTGAAGTCTGTAGGGGAGAATCCTTCTTTGCTTCTTCAAACTTCTGGTGGCCCCAGGCATTCTCTGGCCTGTGGCAGCAGAAAGCCAATTTCTCCATCCTGTGTCTTCATATGGGCTTCTTCTCTGTGTGTATTTCTGTCTGTCTTCTTTTTTTCTTATAAGGACACCAGTCATTGGATTCAAGCCCACTCTAATCCAGTCTTACCTCATTTTAACGTAACTAATTATATCTGCAGACTCTATTTCCAAATAAAGTCACACTCTGAGGTTCTGGGAGACATGAGTCTGGAGGGGCACTATTCAATCCACTACACTGCCTTAGTTGAAATCTTCCGTTGAAAATTACAGAAAAACATATGAGCCAGATTATGAAAATGAAAGAGATTCTATTCATAGGACACAGGAGTGGTTTACAGACTCTCAGGTCAGTAAAGCCATCAGGCCTTAGAAGGAAGACCCGGGAAGTGCACGGCTGTCAGATGGCTCCGTTCCCTCTCTTCTTCTTATCAGAGCCTCCCCGTGCCTGTCGGCTTCATTCTCTCTGCAGCTGGCTTTCTCTGTGGCACCATGCCCTCGGCCAGCAGCAGATGACCAACTCAGTGCTCCAAAGGTTACATTTCTGTTCAAGCAATCAGTCCAAATTGAATAGTCTTGGCCCCAATTCTAAATTCTCAGGAGGGAGAATCTGATGGACTCATCTAGGATCAGATGTTTAATCCTGGTCTAGTTAATTGTGGGTAGGTGGGTGGAGTGATAGAGTAAATCTTCTATCTATCTAGAGGTAGAGGCGTCCCAGTGGCTGGAAAGCCAACACTCAGAGAAAGAAGAGTCACTGCAAGCTGGATAGATAGCCCAAAAAAGGTCTAGACAGATCTTGTTTTATAGCATTTAGCAGCATGCAAAGTGTTTTCATTTATACTCTCATTTGATTTGTGCAAATTCCTATGGAGTCGGCATAACTAGCATTTTGCTCATTTTGTACATGTAGAAACAAACTCAGAGAATTTAATGGTTAGCCCATAAAGATGGCCAGGGTCAGAAGTCACACACAACATTAGGTCTTCTGGGTCCTGACCCAATTCACCTTACTATACAACACAGAAATGTAACTGACTTTGTCATTTTTATTACAACCAATTGTCAGTTATACACAGATTTATTATCCAAGTTCACAAACGTAGTTTTATAAAAATAAAATTTTAGTAGTCTAAAGATTACAGCCATTCTATTCTTGTCTGACGGATCCAAAGTTTTTCCCACTTATTTTCCTTCTTTCCTAGGCCACTGTTTCTTCACAATTCTCCTCCTTTGGCATCATTATTCCTCCAGAAAGTTCACTAGGATTTAGCACACTTAAATAAAAAGGACAGTAGTTTTCTTTTTAACATTTAAACTCAAATCACTCCTCCTTTGCATTTAATGGTTTCCTTCTATGAATTCTGGCATCTAATTAATTGACAGTGTTGGGAAAACGGGGTTATACCTTTGCAATCCTCTTACTCATCTCTTTTTTATATTTTCATTTTTGTTTTTGAGACAGGGTCTTACTCTGCCCCCAGGCTGGAGAGCAGTGGCATGATCACAGCACACCGTAGCCTCAACCTCCCAGGATCAAATGATCCTCCCACCTCACTACATGGGACTACAGGCATGCGCCACCATGCCTGGCTAATTTTTATTTTTTTATTTTTAGTAGAGATGGGGGTCTTACTATGTTGCCCAAGCTGGTCTCGAATTCCTGGGCTCAAGCAATTGGCCTGCCTTGGACTCCCAAAGTGCTGGGATTTCATTATTCATCTCTTACATTTTCTCTGAGGCTTGTTTCCCACAGTCTCTGGTTCA